>NC_000003.12:106129816-106432846 GCF_000001405.40 Homo sapiens | reverse complement strand
CTTTTTGAGCCCTGCCACTGTCAGGAGGACAAACCCAGGCTAGTCTGAGAGACCATGTGCATCAGAACTGAATAACTCAACCAAAGCTATTCTATAACTGCTAGTTCTCAACTAATCTACCAGATGAGTATATTTGTCTGAATAAGCCAATTTGAGGTTAGTCAAGTCCAGCCTAAAACATCAGACCAACCCAGACCACCCACAGAGGTGAAAAATAGTAAATGATGATTGTTTTACACTGTCGCACTTTTGGGTGGTTTGTTAAACACCAAAAGCTAACTAATACAATATTGTTTTATATTTCATTTTACAGGTAACTAAACTGAGGCAGCATTAGGTTAACTAATTTCATTGAGAATGCATAGCTAGTAAGTCAATTAGTAACTAATCATATTAATATAATAAATTAATATAAATAAAATATTAATAAAAGTGTATAAGAATAAACTTATTATAACTAATAAGACAAGATTAGTAACTAGAAATCAAACCATTACATTTAGGGTAAGTCCAATAGAAAAGCATCTTGACCTACAATGCAGTTTCTTTGTAATTTGTGATTGCTTTCTGGAATAGCTCAGAGAAAAAGAGGAATTCTGTCTGATTAAAAAACCTCAGTTGGGACAGGCTAAGGACCAAAACACAAGGGCCAAGATTCTGAGAGCTCCAAGCAGTCTACGCTATCTCAAAACTCCCTCCAATTTCGATTTTGTAACCAGAAGTAGAAAAATAGAAAAAGGCAGAAGGGTAGTTTATGATGTTTCCCTTTTGATGGATTACCTGCTATCTGGTACAGCGACTGAGAGAGACCACAAGGTTACAGGGAACATAAACTGAAGCAGAACACCAGCATTTCCAGAATTCTACACAGGTTCTGTAGCTTTGATACATGACTGCCCTGCCCAAGGCCGTCAATTCTCTGTGCGGCACCATGCCGAGTGGAATATGCAATTTGTATGATTATAGTTATCGTGATTGCATCAAGCTGAACCACATTTTCAGCTCTGTGAACTAGAGGGAGGAGAGGCACCAGAGGGACTTGGATTCAGACTAACAAAGAAACGGGAAGGGCAGACGGGAGAGATGTGGACATTTCTTTTACTCCCTTTTCTGCTTGTTACCTTTTGTTCAACCCTGGAATGCATATCTGGGTTCTAATTAGACAGATTCTGATTCAATGGCAAGTAGGGCCAAAGTGTCTGCATTTTTATAAGCACCCCTCGGTAATCTTTAGGAAAATTTTTAGATGGTACAAAACTGGATACATTATAGTTGGTTCCTTATGAGATTTAAGTACCCCATAAGCATCTCTCTTTTCTCTGATAAGCCTGATGTACTGCTGTTGGTTAAGCCTTTGGATTTTGTTAGATGATTGAATGTAAACTCCTTGAGTGACAGGACTTTGGTTCCTCTGCCCCTAGAAGAGTGCTTAGCATGAAGTAGGCATCAATCAATAAATACAAGTTTAATGCATGAGGTTATGCATACTCCGAGTCGACTTTATCACTGAACATTAGATTCTATTGGACATCAGCTTCTCTTGGTGGCATCTATTTTGGGAGTTGGAGGCAAAGCATATTCTGTAATGTAGTGATAAGTGCATAAAGAATGCTAAAATCTTAACCTAAAGCTTCTCATTCATTTGCTCTATGGTCCTGGACAATAACTTTTAAAAATGTAGTATAGATATATTTCAAGGTGTGTATCTCCTAGAGCTAAATAAAACCTGTGCTCCTCTCCTGAGACCACAACTCCTGTTGACAGCTGCTTTATTGGCATATCTTCCCCTTTGACCAGGGTCAAATTTTCTCTTTGGGCATGAGCTCTAGATAGATCAAAAGAATCTGTGCTCTGTGAATTTCCGAAATTTCCTGTTCTATAAGAAGAATAACAACTGGTAAGATGGAGGTTGCAATTACATTTTGGAAAACAAATAAAAGTCTCTGAATTGATAAAAATCAAAGAACATTCCAAACAGTTCAACTTTTGACTTGTGCTGATTCAGTTTAAGCACTCTATCCTTGGTATGAGAATATTCTTTCCTGAGCCACTGACTCTAGCATGTCTTAGCTTTTAAATTTTTATATATAATATTTAGGGAGCCACATCGAGGACTATATAGGGAGTATATAAATGTATCTATATATCTATATTTATACCTATCTTTCTGTCTGTACATATATACATATAAACCCACACATACACAGACACCATAATGAAGATGTCAACAAAGTCTGTGACTTTGAGACTATGTCACTTGAAAACATTTATTATAAAAAATCTCCAAAAATTCAAATGAAATAAACCTCTGAAAGCATAATAACGTTAGGTAACTTGATAATATATCATTTGCATTTATTTTTCCGGACCATTGAACAGAAACTAGTTCATTTCAAAGATTAAATTTTCTTAATTAGATAGATGAAGTCAAAGGTCAAAATGTAGTTAGAGTATTGACATTATTAATATGCTAGATATTTGTACTATGAGCTTAAAGAAACATTCTCTACTTGGGAGGCTGAGGTAGGGAGACCCCTGAGGCTGAGAATTCAAGACCAGCCTGGGCAATATAGCCAGACCCCCCTTCTGAAAAAAAGTTTTTTTTCAATAAGCCAGGCATGGTGCCACATGCCTGTAGTTCCAACAGAAAGATCACTTGAGCCCTGGAGTTTGAGGCTGCAGTGAGCTATGATCATGCCATAGTACTCCAGCCTGGGAAACAGTATGAGACTGCCTCTAAACTTTTTTTTTAATTTTCTTTAATTTTTTTTAATTAATTAATTTTTTAATTATTATTATACTTTAAGTTTTAGGGTACATGTGCACAATGTGCAGGTTAGTTACATATGTATACATGTGCCATGCTGGTGTGCTGCACCCACTAACTCGTCATCTAGCATCCAAAGAATCACAGCATAGTCAATTACATCAAAATTGAAAGCTTTGTCCCCAGTGCCCAGAAGTGGTATAATGTAAATTTTAATTTGTTTCTTTTGTTAATATATCAAATTGCAAGTGATTCATAGAAAACATTTTGAAGGAAGAGAGTAGGGTCTTGAGCTTTCTTAAAAAGTGAATTTTAGTTGACTCTAACATAGAGGCATCTTGGAGGGTAAATACTATTTTGCCCCAGTTATAATTGTGTTTGAATGAAATGCTGGAGAAAGCGTAGTGACATTATTCTTTCATTAGTTTTGTTTTTGCTTTTCGATATTTTGTTTATTTTGCTAAATACTAGTTCCTAGAAAAGTACAAAAGTCGGTAATGGTTCTAATATTAGGAGACTTCAGTCTGCTCTTAGCTGAGATTATCTGAGACATATGTGCTTCTCTGTGCATGATCAAGACTAAGGAGTTATTTAATCCCTATCAAGTATCAGACACTGCTCTAGGTTCTGGGACATAGCAACAAGCAAAAGGAAGTTCCAAATGTCATGGAACTCACATTGTAATTGGCAATGATAGACAATAAATGGTTATGCAGTATTTCCAATGATGACAAATGCTGTGGGAAAAAAAAAAAGCTAGGAAAAAATGGTTAAGGGATGGAGAGTGATGCAAAGGGTGCCATTTTATAAAGATTAGGTAGGAGCAACACGCAAATAAGGGACATTCTAACAAAGACTTGATTGGAGAGTGTGAGCCAAGTAAATGTCTCCAGGAAGAGCTTCACAAGCAGAAGCTATGTAGGTGCAGAGGCAGTGAATGGAAGCATACTTGGTTTCACCACCAAAAAGTCAGGGCTGATGGAGTGAACTTTGAGAAGGAAAGAATGGTGAGGTATAAATTCAATCAAGTTAGCCAGAGGTCATATAATATGGGTTCCACACAATCATAGTATTCTGAGTGAGATGAAAAGTTGTTCGAGGTTTTTGAGCTTAAATGACATAGTCTGTTTCATTTCAATAGAATCATTCTGGCTACTATGTGGACAAAAACTGTAGCAGGTAAAGAACAGGAGCCAAGAAGCCAGTATGGAGCCAAAGAGCAGGCCAAGTGAGGGATGATGACTCACTCACTGGCTAGCTGAGTGGTTCTTGGGTATGTAGAAATCTTCATTTCTTCTGAATGTTTTGACTTAGAAGCTTCCATCTGTGACATAAATGGATAATGACTCACTCACTGGCTAGCTCATTAGTTCTTGGGTATGTAGAAATCTTCATTTCTTTTGAATGTTTTGACTTGCAAGCTTCCATCTGTGACATAAACGAAAGTCTCATTTGATTACCATCCAAAGCAACTATGAGCAAAGCTACCATCTCTGGCTTGAAGTTATCTCCAAGTTATTGTCTATGATGAAGAACAGCATTACCAGAATGACAAAAAGCAAATTTTTGATTTTATTTTCATCTTTTAGCCTTATTGAATAGATGTTTATAGGAAAGAGTATTAGTATTTAAAAGATTTATATTAATGTCTATTATACCTACTTAGGTCCGTGATTGAATTTTATTCTTATCTTGTAGAGAAAAGAGAGTAAAGGATCTTAGATGACGGACTTGGAATTGTTGAATCTTTTCCCTGCAGAAGGCAGTGTTTCTTGTATGTGAGGGTCAGGTGTGTCCTGGAAACAAATGCAAAAAGAAGACTTAACCTTCAAGAAAATTCATGTCTAATTTTGGATCTCTCAGAGCAGCATTAAAAAAAAATGAAAACAAAGAGTGGAAAAAGGGAGATTAGATAGTAGAATAGATTGTTGCATCCTGGATTTTCATTCTTTTCTTTTATCTCTGCAGCCTTGAGGATTTATTGGCACCCATTTCATTTGTCTTTCTCTGGATTTAACATTGAGGTGATGAGATGGAATATTACCTGTATGCTTCGGAACATCTATGAGTGACATGTAATAGTTGCCTGGGAAACTAGAGATGAAATTCTACAGGTCTTTGAAATGCTTTACATTTGAGAATGAAGCTCAGCTGAAGTTTGAACAGCATACTGACAGTGAGCGTTGATCCCACATTTATCTGTTAAGATATTTGAGCTTCAGATAACAGAAAAACCCCCACTCAAAGTGGCTTAACAAATAAAAAAAGTTATTATCCAATATAACTGGAAGTCCAGAGGCAGAGTGGGCTCCTGGTGTGTTGTAATGAGAGGCCCAATGTAATGAAGGACTCAGGTCCTCTGCTTTCCTCAGAATTAGCTACCTCCTAAGCCTGGTTGTCCAGTGGTTTCAGGATGGCTGTCAGTGACCATCACAGTGGCATTAATTCCTATTTGCTACTGGCAGAAAAGGAAAGGGGAAATTTCTCCTTCAAACATAGAAAATATTTCTTCTCTTCAATCTGATTGGGAAACTTAATTCACATGTCCACGTCCAGACTAGGGGATGTCATTTGCTGACTGGCTTAAAACTAATCAAAATTCTTCTTGAGAGCTAGATATACTGTGAATCTCTGGATTAATGGGCCTCTCTTGGGAGGAAGAAAGAGGAAAATGGGCGTTAGGTGTCGTCTATATCATACAATGGAGAGGCATGGGTTAACAGCAAACTGTACACTGGGAAAAATGTGAAAAAAAAAATGAAATCTTCCTCCAAGTTTCATTATGCTATTCCTTGCCCTCAAATCGTGGACATGTGCTTTCTCCATTAAGGATAAAAATGGGAAAGAAAGGGAAGAAATTCTGGTGATTCCAAGTTTTGGTTTTTTTTCACAGTATTTTGAGGCTCTCCATTAAGGCACTTAGAAATAGTAATTTTAGGCCGGGCGCGGTGGCTCACGCCTGTAATCCCAGCACTTTGGGAGGCCGAGGCGGGCGGATCACGAGGTCAGGAGATCGAGACCATCCCGGCTAAAACGGTGAAACCCCGTCTCTACTAAAAATACAAAAAATTAGCCGGGCGTGGTGGCGGGCGCCTGTAGTCCCAGCTACTTGGGAGGCTGAGGCAGGAGAATGGCGTGAACCCGGGAGGCGGAGCTTGCAGTGAGCCGAGATCCCGCCACTGCACTCCAGCCTGGGCGACAGAGCAAGACTCCGTCTCAAAAAAAAAAAAAAAAAAAAAAAAAGAAATAGTAATTTTAAAACAAAAGTGATTCTATTGCCTTTGCTGAGCATCCAGAAGTTAAGATCAATGAATACTTGTGATGTTGTAACAGTAATTTTTTCAATGCAGTTTCCTGTATTCTAAATTTCTTATTTAAAGGACTTAAAATGAATTATTTCCAGCATCTATATTAACTATACCTATACATATAAATATTATAAGCAATTAAACCGGTCTTTTGAGACTTTTTAATTTCTTTCCAAAACCATAAAAAATTTTCTTTGTTAAAGATAATTTTAGCAGATGAAGGCCTGACACAGCAACAGTAGATCTATTTAATAAGCTCTTGCTCTCTTGCCATCTATATATGAAAAATGTATTCATTTTCTATTAATGCACCATAAATTACCACAGAATTGGTGGCTTAAAACAATGTTAATTTATTGTCTTACAGTTTCTTTGTCTGAGCATGGTATAATTGGGTTTTCTCTTCAGGGTTTCACAGGGCTGCAATCAAGACTGCAGCCAAGTGTCAGTCACACTGTCATTCTGCTCTGAGGCTGTGTCTTCCTCCAAGCTCATTAATGTCATTGGCAGAATTCAGTTTCTTGTAGTTGTGGGACACTCCCTATTTTTTTTACTAAATGCTGGCCAGAGACCACGCTTGGCTCCTAGAGGTCACCCTGAGCTCCTCAGTTGTGTTTGTTTACTTCCAGGACAGCAGCAGCCACTCTTTCTGATTTTGAATCTCTGACATTTTATGTCTCTGACCTCTTGACTCAGATCTAAGAGCTCCTATGATTAGATCAGGCTCATTGGATAATCTTCTTATCTTAAAGTCAATTGAATTGGGATCGTAATTTGATGTGAAAAATCCATTCATAGTAGTATCTAGAATTTAATAACTGGGTAAAATGTGTGTATATCAGGAGGTTCCAACATATGAGAGCTGAGCTGACAATGAAGACATTCCATCTTTCAGGAAAGAGATTCAAATACCTTTAGCTCAGCTCTCATAATTTGGAAGCTAAATAACTCAAAAGGACCATATGTGTCTCCTCCTGCCTGCCCCCACTTTCTTCCCCTTGTCCTCTTCTCTCTTCTGTTGTCCTCTCCTCTCCTCTCCTCTCCTTTCTATCTCACTGAACATAAATCACTTAATTTCCTCCCCTACAGAAAAAACAAAATATGAACAAATAGCTGGAGGACAGGATGAGGAGGAAGAGTAAGATAATTAAAAAAAAAAAAAGTAATTCTAAAGAAAATGAGGAAGAATGAAATTGAGGAGTAGGTGTAGGAGGAAACACAAACAAACAATCAAACAAACAAACAGAAGCATGCAGCCAGGAGAGAGAAGAGAATTTGAGATAAAATTAGAAAAAGAGAAAGCATCATAGGAGAATCAACGAATGTGAAAAGCAAGGTAGAGAGGGCAAAGTTGAAAATAACAAAATGATGGCACTTGTGGCCATGGATTTGTAGTTGCTTTGAACAAAGCACTCTGCTTCTTTTTCCTAAATACTTTCCCAATGTGAGAAAGGCTGATGGCAGCGCATATTTGTGTATATATCTTGATCTTGTTAACAGTATTTCTCAACACTCACGTTGTTATGGTTGAGCTTCTGCTTTGAAGAGCCAGGCAAAGCAGATAATATTACACTTAATAAAAACATATGAAAGCCAAAAACATAACCACAAACAAAAGAAATCAAAAATAACCCAAGGAAGTCTTACAGTCTCTTAGCAACAAATTATTTGGACCAGGAAGTAGGAATGTATGTAGCTCAGTGTGGTTTTTTCTCTGTTTTCTTTTTCAGTATACCAACAAGAATGAAAATAACTTAACAGCAATTTTATAAATTCACATCCCCCAGAGCACCACAGAGTAAAGAAATACTGCATATGGGTAACAACTGGTTCTTAGTTACTAAATCTGAAAGATCAAATACAGTTAATTACATAAGGTAAGTTAAACTCAGATGTTTGGTAATACATATATATGGAGAGAGAGATGTGCGTGTGTGTATAAAATACACGAGTATATATGTGTGTAAAATGCAGTCAGTCCAGATGTATTCCAAATAACTATCCTTTAAGCCTGCCATCTGCATCTTGTTTTTTTTTTTTAGACGGAGTCTCACTCTATCGCCAGGCTGGAGTGCAGTGGCACGATCTTGGCTCACTGCAACCTCTGCCTCCCGAGTTCAAGTAATTCTCCTGCCTTAACCTCCCGAGTAGCTGGGACTGCAGGTGCATGCCACCATGCCCAGCTAATTTTTGTATTTTTATTAGAGATGGGTTTTCACCATGTTGGCCAGGACAGTCTCAATCTCTTGATCATCTGCATCTCTTTTAAGATAAATTATGAACTATTGCAGATATATTTTCATTTTAAGAAGGAGTAGATATATCCCAAATATAAGAGTGCATTTTGGCTTCTGAATTTTTGATATTCCTGAGCTTTTTAGGTTATTTGCTCCATAAAGGGAGGGTCTGAGCAGAGATTGAGAGTTCCTTGAAACCAGGTGTCAGTAGCAGACAAGAGGAGAATACATGCCTGGCTGCTCTTAATGTCCTCTTATAAGGGAACATGCTCCTAATGTCTTTTATAAATTAATATAAAGAATAACCTTTATCTTCAACAAGACACTGTCAACCACGAGGTGCTTCTGTTGACTCATTTTTATTGTCTTGTGGGAGTTTCTGAGAACACTGCAAGGAAACAAAAAGAATTGAGATGAAACACCTCTTTCCGTCTGCCAAAAAGCTTTAGGATATAGCAGAGGGATGATTCAGAATCCAACTTTCTTATTAATCTGATGCCTATTCTAATTAGAGGAATACTTGTTTGCACATTTATAAGACATCTCACATAAGAATGACGGGGAGTTTCTCTGAGAGTAATGGCAGAGATTTATTTGCGGGAGTGTGGGTAACAGCTGCCAAATACAATGGTAATGTCAAGATTAGTATAACATGAAAGACAGCCCCCAGTATTGACTTCCCCAGGCTGTGCGTCTACTTTTCCCTCTAGATTCTAGATCTGACTCCTTGCACACGAATTACCAGGCATGATTTTTCTCATCAAGTATTTTTTTTTTTTTTTTCAAAAATGCGGTGCTCCATTCAGCATGTCATTCAGTCTTAAGTGTTTGTAATAAAATTACCAGAAAGCAGAGATGCTTTGCAGCCACACATGTGGCTTTTGAAATAAAATTCAAAAAAGCCACCAATTTGTCAAATAGATAGGGGAAAATGCATCATATCATTTTGCAAATTATGACTACAAATATATTGAAGACAGTCTTGTCAAGCTGATGTGTTCCCTCTGTTACTTGAACTTTATCTTGGTTGAGGCTCAACTCTAATGAAGACAGGCATGGATGATTCTGGTTTGAAAAGGTCACAGTTGTACCAAAGTCTATATAAATAACTTTGTCCTATTATGTCTCTACCACACAGCTTCTCTTGAGTTTTTCTGGGGGAATATACCAGGAGACCATAATCAAGGTACCAGTTTATTGATGGCTGTCCTTAACAAATACAACTCTTCAAGAAAATAAAGTAATTTAATGCATAATAATGTTGAATGCGTAAGTAGGATCAAAATTAGCTATTTCTAAATTGTTTAAAAATCAGAATTTCATTTCAGAGTAAAAATTATTATAAAGATAAAGTAACAGTAATGCCATCACTATGGATCCTTAATCTACAGTTTGTGAATGTAAATTACTTGATCATGTTTCCAGACTAATTTTTGTAAAGAAAGGTTTTATGGGTGACATCTACATTTGTTACCATATCTTCATTTGACAAGGCAAGCTGGTAAATTCATAGGTATGGATTAAACTGATTCTTTCATTACATCTGGAATGCAAGAGTAAATAAATAATTTATTAAATTAATTGAGTTCTTTTATTCAGATGTTTCCAAGGTGATTATCGTGATACCTAAGTAATCAGACTCAATCTAAATAAATTAATTCAATAAAATATTGAATTGTGCCTTAATGGAATAATTTTATGAATACCATCAAGAATGAGTAGAAAATCTTCCAGAAATTTTAAAGAGCATCAGCAGGGGAAATGTGATCAATACAGGATGGCTGACTAGAATTTAGCAAGTAAAGGAAATTATTTTACCGGTTAGTTGAGGAGTGGTGATATTGCTCCCTAGTTTACTGAGAAATTCAAGGCTTTACAAATAAAAATACTCATCTTCCATCTTTTTTATTTCCAAAATCACTCCATAGCTTTTATCTCTCTTTTCCCTTTTACTATTTCTCAGAAAGAAATATTCTTTTTATGGAGGAATTATATTTATTGAAAAAAAAAATCAGTGTATAAGTGGACCTGCACAGTTCAAACCCAGGCCATTCAAGGGTCAACCATAATTCTCTCATTTAAAGTGCATTATTCAATGCTTTTCAGTATATTCACAAAATTGTGCAACCACCACCACAGTCAATTTTAGCACATTTTCACCTCCCCGCAAAATATTCTATACCCATTTAGTAGTCATTCTCCATTCCCCCCTCTCGCAGCCCCTGGCAGCCACTAATCTACTTTCTGTATCTATGGATTTATCTATTCTGCACAAGAAATATTTTAACCACTGTCAATCCTTCTGCTTATGCTCCAATCCTATGTAATGTTCTATATTCTCTAGGGCTTTGATTTATCAAGTAAGTTCTTTAAATTCCTCCAGCCTTACACATCTACTCAGATGTCATGTCCACAGATGAATAATTTTCCATAGTATTTCTCTTTCCCTTCTTCCCTGATTATAGCTAACATTATCTCTGCTACATTGCCTTACTTAATGTGACAATTTTCTGATGGGATTTCTTCATTCTCTATCTTTTATAAAGATTAGTAATAACCTCTACTTGCTTACCACTGCTTAACCTCTAAATCCCATGGGAAATGGTGACTTCTTCTGCCAAGAAAACTTTATGCATTACATGATCTCTAATCCCATTGAACAAAAATTCTTAACCCTACATTTATTTACCATTATCATCAAAGTCACCAATATCATGTCAGAAACCACAACTTCTATACTATATTTTACCAACTTTATAGATATGTACTCATTTAATTGTCAACAATTCAATGAAATAAGCATTTTATTTCCCACTGGTAAATGATGGAATGGCAACTCAAAGTTAGTTGCTCAGGGCCATCCTAACAGCCAAAAAAATGCAGCTTTCACAGTGGGTAGTGTAATGCATGATGTCTCCAGCTACTAGACTCTAAAATCCATCACCATGTGTGCACCAAGGTCACAATTTCCATGACTGCTCTTTGCCAATGACAGAGTGCAGCTGGGATACTAATGCAGGATCATCCTGGGAGATACAAGACTCCTCAGATGAATGACTTCGGCTCAAGGGCACCCTGTCAAGTTTGTTGAAACTTACTGGAGCTACACGGCTGTCTAAAACCTTCTTTCCCTCCTTCTCTTTCTCCTTCACAGGGGTTAGACTTACATTACGGTCTGACAACTTTCTCAACCTTCTCTGGCTCCCTCCCACTTTTTCTCATAGGCGTTTTCCCCAATCAATCTCTTGCACTTCCAATTACATCTTGTTATGTGCTTCTCAGAGGACTCAGACTAACATAGTCACACCACTACTTAAGAGGCTGGGCTAAAATTTGTACTGTAGACTATTTATTTCCAAAGCTGGTATACTCGACTACTAATGAGAATACGGTCGTCATCCACATTCCCAAGCTTTTCATCCAGCTTTACTCTACCTCACTCTATCCAAACTAGGCCACTCTCCATTTCCACTCCACTACCTTCCATTTTTCAGTGCCTTCTAATCTCCCTCTCAACATTTGAGTCACTCATGGAGGCTAAAATAAAATACTGCCTACCTTTTGAGCTATTTTTTAAACCGTTTGACCCAACTTGAACTCTTCCTTAACTGAATCTCTATTGGCGCTTCTTAGTTAAAGAAAGATTTTATAATATTGTGTTAAGTGTTGTCAACATATGTAAGTTAGTTACATTCTCATTTCTGCTATTGACTTCCTGTGTGACCTTAATAGTGGGACATTTTCATGGTTCACTGTGTTCAATCTCAGGGTTAGCAGATATAAATAGAACAATTTCCAAGTTAGAGAAATAATCTTCATAGTGTTGAAGTCTTATGAGACTTGAAATTATATAAATAGTTGTGTACTTTAGCATTTGTATCAAGATAATGGCTTTTATTCATCAGAATTTCTATAGCATCAATGAAATAACTTGCCAGATATTACTGTGAATTATGATTCCTAAGAATGTTTCTTTCTTTTCAGTGATATTTCGCTCTCTCCCCTCACCCTTCTCTTTCCCTATCCCTCTTTCTTCCTCACTCCCTCACTTCTTTTCTTCCTTCTCTTTCTCTTTCTCTATTTATGTCTCTTTCTTGGAAAAAGAAGAAATAATATAAAATGATTTGTTTCTATATTTAGTTAATAAGGGTATGGAGGATATAAGATTTCCTTGAAAGATAGTTAAAACTATAAGTTGATTCATCTAAAAGTTATTTAGAGTCTAGCATTAAGGATCTATAGCTGCTAACATCACACAAAAGAGAAATGATTAGACTTTACGTGTCTCTTGAAAAAGCATTCTGTCTTTGAAGTAATCTTGTCAAAAATAAATAAATAAAATGAAAGAGAAACTTGATTTTGAGGAAGGCTTTAGATCCAAATGCTAATTTTATGGAAATACAGATGACTGATGAACATGTCAAATGACACTACAGGGATGCAATCAGCAGTTAGGTTTTTTTTTTTTTTTCTCCTCTAACATTTAAATTGCAAGTGAGAAAACAAATTTACAGGGGATCCTTACAGAATAAAGACTTAAACATCTTATCAACCAATTGCGATGTAACCTTATTTGATCTTGATTCAAATAAGCAGCAAGAAAAATAAAATATATGAGATAATTGGGAATTTTAATACTAAGTAAATATTCAGTGACATTAAGGAGCTATTGTACATTTTTAAATAATCACTGTCATTGAGGTTATGTTTTGATATTGTTTAGGGCTACATACTAATATATTTTTTGGTCATGGACTCTGGGTACATGGTAGTTTATTGTGCTATTCTATTTTCTTTGTATGAATGTCCATAATAAACTGCCTGGAGCAATTAATATAAGATAAAGGGAAAGGCAGTGGCTGAGACGATAAGCCACAGAGACTAACCTCCTCTTATGCTGACTCCCTCAGACAGAATGTTTGATTCTGAAATGTGCCCTGTCAGTTCCCATAGCAGTGATGACATCTCACGTCCCAGAGAATAGTCATAAGTGCTAAAGCACAAGTGTTGGTTGATCAGACATAATGTATTATTAACTAAAAGTAAGGATTAGGATAGGCAAGAGATGTAGGCTACAGCTGTTTTTTTGCTCATTGTTTTAATACATCTTATTTCTTGATGGAAAATCAAAATTACTGTCAGAAAGTATTTTCATGAACGAAGAGCCAAAATAAAGATACTGGATGATTTTCTGAAATACTCTTATCAACAGTACGTGCCCACCTTAAAGATAAGGATAAACCTGCTGAGCAGACCAGGACACCTCCAAGCAGCCCATTCTGATAAATAAGGCCAGGATTATATTGAACAATATTTGCTGTTTGTCTTGTCTCTTGTGTTCCAGGCTCAAGGCAGACTATTTTTGTTATAAAATTGTCATGTGTTCAGATTCACAGGGCATAGCTTGCTCATCAGTGCATCTGCAACAGCATAATTCCTAACACATAATAGGTCTTTAATAAATATTTGTTGAACAAATGAACAAATAAACAAATTCACATTGATTTTACCTGATATTACATTAATTACATTTTAACTTAGTATCTTTCTGAGGAATTTTGGAATTTTAAATAGTGGGCCATTAACTAAATGCAGTAGTTAATTTCATTAGTTTTATATTAATGATCATTAACTTTCATGTCAAGGGGTGTAATTTCTGATTATATCTCCACACTCTGGGCTTGTATCCTATAAGGAGCGTACAGAATCACATAGTATAGAGGAAAGAGTTTGGATTAAATTCCAGCTCCAGGTAATCTTTACCATGGTGACCTATTTGCTCTTCCCCAACAGTGACAAGCTCTCTTTGTCTTCCGGGTCTTTGCTCATTCTGTTTCTTCTGGCCTAAATGTTCTTTTTCATTTTTGTTTTTTTGGCTGACCCTTACTTTTTCTTGAAGACTCAGCTCAAAGTATGCTTCCTCCAGGAACCCTTCCTTAAGCATCCATGGACTCAGTGACATAATGTTCCTCCCCTATACCAAAAGACACTCCCTGCCTAAGCATGCTACCCTAGAACATACTGAGCTACAGCACACTTATTCATTTGTGTCCACGCTAGCCCTGGTTGCTACTCCTACTCCATCTCATTCCAGAACACACACACACACACACACACACACACACACACACACGCACTCACTCACACACACTCCATAAAATATCTGAAAGTAGGGACTGTTTCTCTATTCTTTGTATCCTCAGTGCCTAAAATAGTGGCTGGTACACAACGGACTCTCAGTAAATATTCACAGTTGCAGACGAGGCTTGAAATTAAGTAATCAAATGAAGTCGTCATGAAACTTAATTCCCTATTTAAGTGGAAACATTGTCTCTCTTGTGAGATCAAACAAACATATACAATTGACCTTTAAAAGATGTGGGGATTGGGGCACTGACCCCCTGTGCGTTCAAAAATTTGCATAAAACTTTTAACTGCCCCCAAACTTAACTAGTAATAGCCTTTTATTGACCTGAAGCTTTACCAATAACATAAACAGTTAACACATATTTTGTATATCTATTATATATTGTATTATAACAATAAAGTAAGCTAGAGAAAAGAAAATGTTAAGAAAACCATAAGGAAGAGAAAATACATTTACAATGCTGTACTGTATTTATCCCTGGTGTAATTTTACACCATCTGTATACAAGACGAATTGTCAGTTTGATATGGTGGGCAACCACAGCTGCAGACCTCGATATAGCGTACATACCAAGGAATCCAACTTTTTCTTCTAATGTCATGACTTTTCTCTGCTTCTCGGGAGCGCTTTCAGCATCACCAGTGGCATTTCATACTGGTCCCATGGTGTTAATCCAGGTTTCTGGTATTGCACTAAACACGATGAAAAACAGGAGAGAACGGAGAGGGATCATGTTTTACCACAATATGCAATTTATGGGAGAGATGAAGCGCTCAGGTGGAGATGACTAGTGTCACGTGGTGTTTTAAGTGGATACTCACAACGCTGGAACTCACAGCAATAACAACAAGAGGTGACTACAAAATTATTACAGTAGTACACTATGGACTACAGTTAATTTTATGCAGTTATGATCTAATCTGCGTCTTTATGTTTGTTTACATTTCTGCCAACTGTGAATGGCACTATGTCCAGTCTGTGTTTGTGTGCATAGGTTTTGAGAAATTTTAACTTTTTACAAGAGATTTGTGTATATTTTATAATAGTAAATTATAAAATACACTAGTATCTACATATGTCTTATGCATTCATGACATACCTTTTTCTTAGTTTTTTCTGATATTTCTAGGCTAATTCACCTAGGAATTTCTTCAAATTGTCACAAATCACCAAAATTTTTTCCAATATATTTACTGAACAAAATCCTCATACACTGAACCTATGCAGTCCAAACCTATGTTGTTCAAGGGTCAACTGTATTTCAAAACACTGTTACTCCTATTGGTAATAAAAGGAGCGTCACCTTCACAACTAGTTTGACATCACATTGGCCTGGTATGATTTAAGGAGCATCAAGAGAATCCGGGCCTTCTGCCTGGAACTAACGTCCTGGCTGTGACACAATGTTTGAAATAAGTATAATTATTCACTCCTACGGTTTAGGTAATAAATGTTGCTGTTACAAAAATTTAGCTTGTAGAAGAAACCTATTAGATAATATCCCAGGAAGCATGACATTTCAGGAATGAATATAGGTCAGATAAATTTGGAGAGAGACGATGAATACCAGATACACAGAGAATGGTACCTTAGTAGTTAAAGAGTATCATCAGGACACACAGTTAATGAGGAATTCCTGAAATGTTGAAGGTACTGAAAATCAGCTCATCGATCTCGCCTAGTACCAGCACCGAATAGAACACACTTGCCTATGCTGCTGTCTAGAGATGCATAACAGGTCATTGGCAAATTTCCCCAAATTCAATCATGTACCGCTTTCCTGATTTTACTGTATCTGAGTATCACCTTGACTATTGTTTAATACTTACATTTAAATTAATTCACTTTTAAAAATTAAATGTCTATTATAATCTCAGTCTCAAAAATCATATCTGTAAAATCATGAGCTAAATATGCTATATTTTTGAATACACATTAAGATAAAAAAAACCACTGAAATAGTTAAATTTATCCCAAGTTGGGAAACACTTGTTTAGGACTCAAGAAATTCTTCTCCAAAATTAGATTGATTGAGTTTTAATTACTGAATATAAAATTTACTTGCAGTATATCCTTGGACAAATTATTTAAACGATCTCTGCTTCAATTATTTATCAGAAAAACAGGGCCAATAATAGTGCCTATATTTTAGAGTTCTGAGAATTAAATACAAGAATACCTATAAAGAATTTAGCACACTGTGTCTCGAGAATATAGCAGATATTCAGTAAAGGTTAATTCTTAAACGTATCTTAATCATCAATAATGATATCTCTCAAATGTTATATAGCCTTTTTCTCAAGGAACTTCAAATATATTGTTTTCATTGACATTACTTAATTTATACTTGAGACCTTGTAGCACTAGATGGTGTTATCTCCATTTTATTCAGCTGCAGTTTACTGATAACATAAACCAGCTAACCTATGGATTCCCACTATATCCTTATTAGAATGCTTCTCTGTTTAGGTTTTTCTATGTAATTGAGGTTGAGTTGCATCATTGTATAACCAAACATTTAAAGAATTGTTGTATAAATGTGTTAAACTATCCAAAGGAATAAAATAAATCATTAGAGTGATATACATTTAGAAAAGTTATTTTACAGAAAATCTGATCTTCATGGAGGCTATTAAACATAGATACATCAAAATAGATACATATGCATTTATGCATAGAAATGTGAGCTTTGGGGAAAAAAAGCATCTTGGGAAGAAAGAGAGTTCTCTTTCTGTGAATGTTCCTACAAGCCCAAAGGAAGATGATAGTTTAGATAAGCAATATGGACAAGACTTGCATAGCACTAAGAAAGAGGTATTACGCCAAATTACAGGGGAAATCAAGGATGCTGGGGACAGAAAGGGATTAAAAAATTACTCTAGCTTTTTTTAAAAAAGATTCCTTTTTGAAATTTTAAATCTTTAGTTTTATTTGTATTCGTTTCCGTTATTACTATCAGAAAAAAAAAATTAAGGCATGATCTGAGGTTAGAGTTGAATGAGTAAGAGCTACTATTCTAAAACTTAAAACTCTCCTAAGTCATAAAATTTTAATATCAGTGGCCCCAAATTTTAAATTTTCATTATTTATTTAGTCTAGTCTATTGAAGTTAGTCGCAACAGTAACATCTCTGGCCCTGTTGCTTGTACTTCACAGCTTCACTTAGCATTCCAGTTCTGATACATGTGGTTTGTGCTACTTTTCACCTATATATAAAATGAGCTAGCCTGTCATTTTAACTGTTTATCCCTAAGGGTGCTTTTGTTACTCAGTAAATACTACATAAAGATGAGGTTGAAGGTTTTCAAACATCTATCTATAGAAATAGCATAGGTTGGCTATTTGGATAAATGTGAAAGCTGAATTTTTATATTCTCTTTGAGTTTCTCTTAAGATGAAAAGGAAAATCTAGTTAAGCAGTTTTTCCACTCAGCCCTTGTCCTTTCTCATCTTTTTCTTACCTCTTATATCTTACCTGTTTTGACTTTAGTTTCTTCCCCCCTCACCTTGTTCTTTTTTGGATGTCCTGTGTTTGCATATGTTCCACACTGAATTCTTTACTATGATAGAAAATAAATTCTTTTAAAATTACCAGTTGTTCCAATAAAATTTTTTTACATTTCTTTATATGTAAACATCATGCAGTTTGTGGGGAAAATCTAATACAGGAAACTGGATGGAGTAAGTGTACTGAATAAGAACAAATAAAATATTAGGGTTCTTTAGTTTAGAAATACAAAGTTTAAACGACTTTCATTGTTTTCATTGATACTGATTGAGTGCCTTGTATATTTCAGATCCTCTATAGACTGTTGATGTATAGCCATGAGAAAAAAAAAAGAAAAATTTTTGCTCTCAATGAGCTTGCATTTAAGCATCTATAAAAGGTATGATAATATTTCTAGTCAGTTAGGTTTCAAGGGCTTGAAGCATATGTAATTGGGGAGGTGATTGTTTAAGGAAAAAAGGACACAAAATCATAAATGCAAAGCTGGATCTATAATTGAATGATTATTTAGAATTAGAAAAATCTCACAAAATTGCAAATGCGAAGAGATATGCTTGGTGGTGGACACACAGGCACCATCACACATTGTGATGAAGGGGAACATCTGAAATGTTTCTATAGCATTTAAGAGAGCCTTGGAAATGACTGAAGTGAGCCACCAGGTCCAAAGCAGGTTCAGATAGTGGATATGGTGCAACCTTGGACACCTAGGACAGCAACAATGGGTGCAAACATATGATGATAGGAACCAAGTGGGATGTTACCCTCAGAAGAGGCTGGTTGTGGATATAAGATGATTCTGAGTCCATATTCCTCTTGATGGCAGGATCATATGTAAACACTTCCAGAGAGCTTATCCTAGGAAAGTGCCAACTTAATAGAATAGTTGCCCAAATGATATTAAGTGATAAACTTGATATGACAGGGTTTACCTAAATTGGAAAGATTGATGTTGTAACTCTGGAAATGTCAGCTTTAGAGAAATAAAACATAGCTCTGCTCACCTACTTTGTGTAACGTTGTCACCCTGGAGACAGGATTATAGTAAATCTAATGAAGTTGAAATTTCACAGCCTCTCACTTGCTCAGGCTCCTTCCAAGGTTCTAAGAGGAGCTTTAGCAATGCTCATATGCTTTTTAAAAGAATTTGCAAAAGTAAGATATTTAACCACAAGTGATTCAGAAAACTGCCTCCGTTCACTCTGACTTTCATTACAGTACATTTCTCCTCTTGTCAGATAATTCAACTATGGGACAATTCAGTTAAGTGGAAATTGCCTTGTATACATATTTAGCTGGGGTTTAATGAGATACATATATATGTGGTTCACAGTCTCTTCCATGAAGAGTTAAGTTGTTGCTAGTCTCCAATGATGCCAAAATCAATTTCAGTGCTTTGATTTGAAGCACCTGAAAGTATTAATTTTAAGATATGTTTCTCTTCCATGAATTAAAAATATTTATGAGGCAACCCAATGGAATTTTTTTCCTTCTGTGTATTAAACTGCTTTCCCCAGGAGGCAATGGATGACACTGGAGCAATTAGCGTGATGTCTTAGGACTAAAAATGTGTCAAGAGAGGGGCAGAGCAAAATGGCCAAATGGAAGGCTCCACTGATCATGCCCCTGCAGAAACACCAAATTTAACAACTATTTACACAAAAGCACCTTTATAAGAACCAAAAACCAGGTGAAACTTCATAGTACCCGGTTTTAACTATCATTGAAAGCGACATGGAAGAGGGTAGGAAAGATGGTCTTGAATTGCTGATGCCACTGCTCCCCTATCCCCTGGCAGCAGCCGTGTGGCACAGAGAGAAAGTCTGTGTGGTTAAGAGCAGGCGGGAGAGCGCAGCGATTGTGACTTTGCCTTGAACTAAGTGCTGCCCTGTCACAACAGAAATCAAAACTGGGCTGAACTCAGCTGATGTCTGCCCACAGAGGGGGCATTAAGACCAGCCCTATCCAGAAGGAAACTGCCCACCACAGCAGTAGGAATTTGAGTTCTAGCAAGCCTTTCCACTGCAGGGTAAATGGCTGTGGGGCACTAAATAAACTTGAAAGGCAGTCTAGGCCACAAGGACTGCAACTCCTAGGCAAATCCTAGTGCCAAGCTGGACTCAGAGCCAGTGGACCTGGGGAGCATGTGACCTACTTAGTCACTAGCTGGAGTGGCTAACAGAGAGCTTGCACCACCCCTCCCACAAACACAGGTAGCACAGCTAGCACTTCCAAAAGAGATCCTTTCCTTTCATATGAGGAAAGGAGAGGGAAGAGTAAAGAGGACTTTGTCTTGCATCTTGGATACCAGCTCAGCCACAGTAGGATAGGGCACTAGGCAGAGACATGAGACCCCCATTCCATGTTCTAGCTCTGGATGACATTTCTAGACATACTCTGGGCCAGAAAGAAACCTGCTGCCTTTAAGGGGAGGACCCAGTCATGGCAGGATTCATTACCTGCTGACAAAAGTGCCTTTGAGCCTTGAATAAAGAGCAATAATAATCAGGTGTATGGCATGGGACTTGGGTGAGACTCTGAGATGTACTGGCTTCAGGTGAGATCCAGCACATTCCCAGCTGTGGGAACTAGCATGAGAGACTCTTCATTCAGCTTGAGAGAAAAAAGTAAAGACTTTGTCTTGCACTTTAGATACCAGCTCAGATGCAGAGGGGAGGGGAACGGGGGAGAGGTGTGGGTAAAACACCAAGGAAGATCTTGGGGTTATGGAATCCTTGGTTCTTAGACAGGATTTCTTGACCTGCCCTGGACCAAAGGAGAGCCCACTATCCTGCCCACTTTCATCTCTGTTATTCAAAATAGTACTGTAAGTTCTCGCTAGAGCAATCAGGCAAGAATGGTAAATAGAGGGCATTCGAATTGGAAACAAAGAAGTCAAAATATCCTTGTTTGGACATAATATAATCTTATATTCTGAAAAGCCTAAAGATTCCACCAAAAGCTATTAGAACTGATACAAAAATTCAGGAAAGTTTCAGGATATAAAATCAACATAGAAAAATCAATAGCCAATAATGAACAGCATGAAGAAGAAATCAAGAAATGCCATTTACAATAGCTACAAATAAAATAAAATACCTAGGAATTACCATAAACAAGGAAGTAAAAGATCTCTACAATTAAAGCTATAGAAAACACTGATGCAAGAAATTGAAGAAGACATAAAAATGGAAAGATATTCCATGTTTATGAATTGGAAAACTCAATGTTGTTAAAATATCCATACTACCCAAAGGAATCTACAAATTTATTGCAATCCCTATCAAAATATTCATGACCTTCTTCACAGACACATAAAAACTATTATACAATTTATATGGAACCACAAAAGACTCAGAATAGCCAAAGATATCCTAAGCAAAAGAACAAAACTGGAGCAATTACATCAAATGACTTCAAATTATACTCCAGAGCTATCAAAACAAGAACAGCATGGTACCGGCATAAAAACAGACACAAAGACCAACAGAACAGAATGCAGAACCCAGAAATAAATCCATACATCCACAGTGAACTCATTTTTGACAAGGGTGCCAAGAACATACATTGGGGAAAGAGCAGTTTCTTCAATAAATGGTGCTAGGATATCTGAATATTCATATGCAGAAGAATAAAACTGGATCTCTACCTCTCACCATACACAAAAGTTAACTCAAGATGGATTAAAGACTTAAATATAATACCTTAAACTATGAAACTGCTAAAAGAAAACATTGGGGAAACTCTCCAGGTCATTGGTCTTGACAAAGATTTCTTGATTGACACCCCATAAGCATAGGCAACCAAAGCAAAAATGGAAAAATGGGATCACATCAAGTTAAAAAGCTTCTTGCATAGAAAAGGAATCAATCAAAAAAGAGACAACTCACAGAATGGGAGAAAACATTTGCAAACTATTCATCTGACAAAGAATCAATAACCAGAATATATAAAAGCTCAAACCACTCTGTAGAAAAATTATGTAATAATCTGATTCTAAAATTATCTAAATTAGACATTTCTCTAAAGAAGACATACAAGTGGCAAACAGGTATATGAAAAGATGCTCGACACCATTGATCATCAGAGAAATGCAAATAAAAACCACATTGAGATATGATCTCATTCTAGTTAAAATGGCTTTTATTCAAAAGCTAGTCAATAACAAATGCTGGTGAGGATGTGGAGAAAAAGAGAAGCCTCATACACTGTTGGTGGAAATGTAAATTAGTACAGCCACTATGGAGAACAGTTTCAAGATTCCTCAAAAAAACTCTATGATCCAGCAATCCCATTCCTAGGTATACACCCAAAAGAACAGAGAGCAGTATATCAAAGAGATATCCACACTCCCATGTTTATTGCAACATTATTCATAAAAGCCAAGATTTGGAAGCAACCTAAGTGTCTATCAACAGATAAATGGGTAAAGAAAATATAGTACATATACACAATGGAGTACTATTCAGCCATGAAAAAGAATGAGATCCTGTTATTTGCAACAACGTGGATGGAACTGGAGGCCATTCTATTAAGTAAAATAAGCTAGGCAGAGAAAGACAAACTTCACATGTTCTCACTTATTTGTGAGAGCTAAAAATTAAAACAACTGAACTCATGGAGATAGAGAGTAGAATGATGGTTACCAGATGCTGGAAAGGGTAGTGGAGGGGTGCAATGGTGGGAAAGTGGGGACGGTTAATGAATACAAAATTATAGTTAGAAAGACTAAATAAGACTTAGCATTTACCAGTATGACAGGGTGACTATAGTCAAAAATAATTTAATTGTGCATTTGAACATAACTGAAAGAATAATTGGATTGTTTTTAACACAAAGGATCAATGCTTGACGTGATAAATACTTGATACCTTATTTACCCTGATGTGATTATTACACATTACATGCCTATATTACATAACCCATAAATATATATGCCTACTATGTACTTACAAAAATTAAAAATTAAAAAATTAAAAAGTGTGTATATGAAAGTATCTCTATTTAAATGTTCCAATTATTATTATCCTGCTATGACTAAAAGTGACAAAGATGAGTAACTTTATCAAAGATCAATATATTGAACATTGCAACAGAAAATACCTTTAAAAATATCGGAACAAAGAGAAACAGTTGTGATACATTTTAAAAGTATAAGTTGAAATACTACTTTAAATAGATAACTCTGAAAAGTCTTTTTTTAGTAGAAATTAAAGTAGTTTTGTTCTGATGATAAAAGTACTTCATATTAATTTTTTAAATACTATATGATATGTTAAAAAAAACTAATCATGATACTACCACCCAAAGACAATGCTAATATTTAAACTATTATCCAAAACTTGAAGAATTGCTTGCTTATTCCCAGAGCTAATATTGGCAGAAAATAAAAATAAATGAACATTTTCTCACAAGAGTTAATAAATTAAAACAATGAATCTATAAATGGAAGATGGAATATATTTCACCATATGTACTAGTCCATTCTCATGCGCCAATGAAAAAATACCCAAGACTGTGTAATTTATAAAGAAAAGACATTTCATTGACTCACAGTTCTGCATGGCTGGGGAGGCCTCAGGAAACTTACATTCATGGCAGAAAAGACCTCTTCGCGGGGTGGCAGGAGAGAGAATTAATGCAGAGCGAAGGGGGAAGGCCCTTATAAAACCGTCAGATCTCCTGAGAATGAACTCACTATCACAAGAACAGCATGGGGGAAAATGCCCCCATGATTCAATTATCTTCTCCTGGTCCCACCCTTGACACATGGGGATTATTACAATTCAAGATGAGATTTAGGTGGGGACACAGAGCCAAGCCATATCACCATAGGAATAACAATGTTGACTTCCTGTTACACATT
This sequence comes from Homo sapiens, assembly GCF_000001405.40. Lineage (NCBI taxonomy): Eukaryota > Metazoa > Chordata > Mammalia > Primates > Hominidae > Homo > Homo sapiens. The sequence continues at coordinate 106,409,012 of NC_000003.12, read as the reverse complement.
CCTTAGACTTCTGTGGACAATGTCGTCTTGAGTTGACCCATGGATAGCATAAAACAGTTAAGCAGCAAACCTCACCTGAGTATGATCAAAGAGATTGATTAAAGCTATCAGAGAGATGAATTGTGCATGGAAATGGGGGATTTTTGTTTCACTACTTTAGGTGTAAGTTGCCCTAAACTCCAGAGTAGTCTATAAAACTCTTCTACTGTGTCGGGAAAAGATAAAATAAGAAAGAGAAATTGGGGCAGTACAATGAAACAGGAAAGGAAAAATTCTAGAAAATCTCTGTCCACTATCTTAGGCACTTTGGAAAGTATATTTTGTAGAACAAATATTTTCATGTTTCAGCATTACACAAATCTCTAGAGAAATAGCAAATTAGTAAAGATAATAAATTGAGTTTTAGCGGTAGAGTTGATGACAACTCTGAACTTAAAGTCTGACTTTTGAACAGTTGCAAAAAGCATTATTGAAAAAATATTTTTCATACATTTGTATAAAAGCTTAGAAGCACAAATTTGCCTGTTCCACAGTGTACTCCAACATAACACATGGGATAGCAAACCAAGTCTTGCCATGATAACAGTGAAAAAGTCTCAGCAAAGCAGTGCAGTTATAGCTCCTTCAGCTTTAACCAGTTATGTATGTTAATACTTCCTTCTGTAAAACTAAAATCAGTACCACACACTATGAGACATTTATAGGACAAGCAAGGTATAATAAATGCATAATATTATAGACAAAGTAAACATGAGAGAAAGTCAGGGAGGAACAAGTAGGTGTGACCTGAGGCTTTTGTGGAAAACATATGAGTGAGTGTTATTTGAAAAGGACCTGTGGGTTGGACAACGTTAATAACTAGGAAGAGTTTAAGAGGACTTTTCAAAACTGAAACAGCAAAAATTAAATTGTACCAATGAGCACATTGCTTAGAGTGGATGGTGAGAAAACAGACCTTGGGCAAACAAAAGATACATGATGACAGATAAGGGGGAAAAGTGGGTAGAAGGTAAGTCAAATAATTTTGCATATTATAAAAAGTATCAGTATTGGGAGTAATGGGGTCAGAGTATATTCTTAGACCTGATTCTAACCTCTGGTTGATTTGAGACAAATCTCTTGTCTGCATCTCATTTCCTTTCTCTGTAAAATGAGGTTATACATGGCTATTCTCTTTTAAAATGTGCTTTAAATAAAAAATAACTAAAATGTATTAAATGCTTACTCTGTGAGCAGAGCCCTGCTTTGTAAGCATCCATTTGATACTTGCAACTTTATGAGATAGACTATGTCATTATTCCCATTTTAGAGATACAAAATTGATGATCAAAAACATTATTCAAACATTTTATAACTAGCTGACTGGGAAAAATGTGATGACAGGAGAACATTTTAAGGTAAATGAGTCAGGCAACCATGAATAGGAAATAGTGCCTAGTGAGGGGGATTTCAAGTGGAAGCAAATCACTTAAGAACACAGTCTGAAAATCAACATATCTATTGATGAGGGTGCCCCCAGTTTTTCTCTGTATAGTGGGAACATAAAAGAATGAAGCAGCCTAAGAGACATTTCAATGAGTTTTATTAAAAATGGTTGTATAGGAATATTTAAAATAAGAATTTGATTTTGGAGACCAGTAAGGCACAGTTGAATTTTATAGTTAACTCCAACATTTACTATCTGGATCCTGAACAAGATGCCTTGAACCTTAGTTCACCTATAAAATAAGAGTCATGATACCTACAATGCCGGGTAGTTTGAAGAGTGAAATTAAAGACTATACAGAATGCCAGTATTGTCTCTGGCATATCTTAATTGATAGCTGTTACCATCATGCTGATGGTGGGTTTGGAATTTTCATCAAAGCACCTTATAAGCTGAGGTAAGAATGATATCCTTTATTAGGTATAGTATTAAAAATAAATCTTAACTGAGCACATACTATAAGGAGTCCATTACTATTAGAAAATGCAAAGTAGTATGTGATGCCGACCCCTTATATTAATATTTTACAGTCCACCAGGAACACTAAGAAAAGTGTATAAAGAGAAAACAAAAATTCAAATCAGCATATGATAAATGCAATAAGAGAAGTATGGGTACATTGAGAGCAGAGAAATGAAAGACCTAATTTTTGGTTACGAGCTGAGGAGCATAAAAGCCATGATCTGGCTTTTGGAAAATGGGTAAAATTTCAAAATACAAAGATGAGATCTTACCAGGCATAGGGACTGGAGGGAACAAGGGAACATTAATGAGGTAATGACAATACTCTGGTTGAAGTGGAAAGTACATACAGCAAGAATAATAAAAGTAAAGTTATACATAGTTAGCCAATGGTTTTGAATGATAGGCCAGCATTCTTATCCTTCAAGAAGCAGGGAAAGAGGCACCTTTAAGAAACAAAACAAAACAGAATGACATAAAAAGTTGGTGACATAGGAAGATTAATATAGAGTAAAAATAAATTGGAAGTATGGCAGTGGGGCAGGCTAGTGCAATAACTGATGAAGTCAAGATAAAAAATATAACTTCTTTAGCCATAAGCTTTCATACAAAGATCCTTTATTGGGGAAAATTTATCCCTCATAATGTGTTCCCTTTAAATACTGATCTGTTTTTCTCCTTTAAGACCCAGAGTGCAGGAGGGATAACTGATATCAAAATTCCAAGGAAAGGATGAAAAAAGTAGGAAGAAAACCCCAAGAGTCAGGTGGGAAGATAGGTGCATATTGATTTGTGTTAATAGTATTTAAGAATTGTTTTTGGGCCGGGTGCAGTGGCTCACGCCTGTAATCCCAACACTTTGGGAGGCCGAGGCAGGCGGATCACCAGAGGTCACGAAGTTTGAAACCAGCCTGGCCAACATGGTGAAACCCCATCTCTACTAAAAATAAGTACAAAATTAGCTGGGCATGGTGGTGGGCACCTGTAATCCCAGCTACTCAGGAGGCTGAGGCAGGAGAATTGCCTGAACCCCGGAGGAGGAGGTTGTGGTGAGCCAAGATTGTGCCACTGCACTCCAGCCTGGGCAACAAGAGCGAGACTCCGTCTAAAAAAAAAAAAAAAAAAAAAAAAGAAAGAAAAAAAGGAATTGTTTTTGGAAGCTATTAAGCCCGGGAATGTCCTGTATTGGTCTGAAACCACATTATCATAATTAGAGGAGAGAAAGAAGGAAAATAGGGGCATTATAACATAGCTGTTCTCAGAAATCCTGGGCTCAAGTTACATCTTACATTAGTTCTATAATACCAGGCACGCTGCATAACCTCTGTATGCCTCAATGTTCTTATCTATAAAATGGTTACTTCATAAGGATATTGTGGCAACCAAATGACAACATGCATGAATCAACTAAAAAAAAATCTACCACACAGTAAATAGTGAATGATACCTAGCTTCTGTTGTCCTCTGTATCAATTATTTTTAGGTAGAATCCTTTGCAATATTTCAAATATGTGTTAATGAACACTTAGACCAGAATACTTAGCAGTGGAACTAAGAAAGTAGAGAAATAAAAGCATATTTTTGTAAAAAAAACAAAAAAATGATGGGGAGATTAACAAGATATTGTGGAATAAATGAAATAAAAAATAATAGCCTTTGATCTCATAGAAGTAAGAAGACCATAATGCTGGTTTTGAAATCTACCAATCCTAAAATCATATATTAATATAATAAAAACCTGTGATTGAGATAAGTATTTGGGACTTGAGCCAAAGATAGGGAGTCACCGTAAAAAGTCATTGTGGGATGCAAAAGGGCCAGTTTATTGTGGAAAAACAAATAGAGATAACTCCAGAGGGTAGAAGAGATACTTGAGCAACACACAGTGTAGAGAATATACTAAGAAAAAGAAAAAGAAGATGGAGCCAGAATATGCAATAGAAACCAAAAATATGTTGTTTCAAAAATCAAGTAGAAAAATAAGATCTCCACGTTGAGGGGTTTAACACTGTTCGTTGCTCCAAGTTCAGCAAAAATGGGAATTGAAGTAAAAACAAATAATGTGAATTGGAAATTACAAGCTAAGGATGTCCCTTAAATATACAATATTGTTAGAGGCACGTGAAAGGAAGTTAATATAGAGTAATATGTGCCAATGGACAACAAGGAAATGAATTTCCAGTCATCTTTGCAAAAGCAAAGTGGGTAGAATCTAGATTTGATAGTGATTCTTAAGACACCTTGTATAATATTCTGGCAAAAAATAATGAAAAATAATTAGGCCAGTATGTTGTTGATTGGATATCATGAATTGGTAGTGGTCAAGATCCACATGATTCTCCATTTTGCATGCTTGGCTGATATGGTTTGGCTGCGTCCCCACCCAAATTTCATCCTGAATTCACACATGTTGTGGAAGGGACCCAGTGAGAGGTAATAGAATCATGGGGGCAAATCTTTCCCGTGCTGTCCTTGGGAGAGTGGATAAGTCTCACAAGATCTGATGGTTTTAAAATGAGGAGTTCCGCTGCACAAGCTCTCTCTCTATGCCTGCTGCCATTCATGTTTGCCTTCTGCCATGATTGTGAGGCTTCCCTAGCCACGTGGAACTGTAAGTCCATTAAATGCTTTTTCCTGTACAAATTACCCAGTCTTGAGTGTGCCTTTATCAGCAGCGTGAAAACAGACTAATGCACTGGCCAATACAAGACAGCCAATTCAAGGTTCAGAGTGGTGCCCTCTGAGTTCAAAAGAGTGAGAGTCTTAGAGGAATAGCAAATACGGCATAGAAATAGCTGCTCACAGAGGAAGGTTAGCACCCAAATAATTTCTCTAACTGGTCTTAACTTCCTTTTTTCGAAATAGAACCAAGCAGTGTCTTGGCAGCACACATTATAATGGTGGATACCTAATATTTTATAAGCAACTTGGTTGTTTCTTAAGTTGGCTTTAAGCCTGAAAATAATATGCATTTGGATTCTAAAGAGGGGCCAATAAGAGAAGAACTATAACAATTAAATCGAGGTGTAACCCTCTGCTAACCCTTTTAGCTGTCTCAGCCTGACAGTCTGAATTTAGCAGGGGACCTGCTTGGTCTGCTCCACCCTCCTGGCAAGTCAGCCATCTGGCCAGTTGCACCTGTCTCCAACAGCCCTACCAGTCCCATGAGCCCTATGTTGGTTTAAATGAAGTAGGAGCTAATGGGACTTGAATCACATCTGGAATGGAATGGAAATGTGTGAAAAGGAGGGCTAAGCAAAGCCAATTAGCTAACCCAGAATGGATAAACTAAGCAGAGTAATAGGAAAGAATGGCAGAACAAGGTTAAACAAAATAGCAACCAAGATGATGAATGTACTTTGAAAAAAGAGGCAGACAAGTTTATGGTCTTGGGGGAAAAAACAGAACTCCATCTGCCTATTCAAGAGCCTCCAGCTTCTCATTCATATTAAAGATAATTGTGAACTATGCTCTAGCACATTGCTGAAACAAATTGCTTCAGGGAACAGGCTTCCACTCTCCTAACCTCCACTTGATGACTTTCAGTACATAATGAGCGCTGCGCTGCTGTCAAAGGAGCAGAATCTGTGCCTAGAAGAAGTTAAAGTGAAAGAAGAGAAAAGCGTCCAAAATAGCATATCATTCCTCCCTGCCGAAGCAATGATGATTTTTAAAGTAGAAATTGCCGAAATCGTCTAGATGTAAATTTTATTTCACTTTGCACATTATTTTGCACCGTCACAACCTCTTAGCCATTACTGTGGTTTCAGCCATTGCTTACTGCCCCTCTTCCTATTTGCACAAGTTCACACCAGCAAAATATATAGCACATGATTAAAATTGATTTTGTTTTCTATACTGAAATACTAAGGAATATGCAGCATAGTTATATATACAGCACGCACACTGTTATGATAGTTTGTGAAGTTTCACAACCTTGTAATGGCTCTGAGTGTAAAACAATAATAATAATAATAAATAATTATAAATATATAAATAATAAATAATTAATCTCAGATGCCAAAAATACTAAGACTGAGTCCTTTTGGAATCATTTGGTCCAAGAGGTAATCAGTAAACAAATAACATATTGAAATTATTTTACATGTGTATGCATGTGTGTATATTCAGTTATCTGTTTATCAATTTTTCATCAGGACTAACAAGTCAACAAAAAAATCTACATGTCTTAAGTGTGGATTATTTTTGTTAATCAGGATGTCTCTGAGCTACACATTTTAGAAAAAAATAAGAAGCAACTATATTCTGTGATCTCATAGTTATATAAAAAGTTCACGTGCCCCTACATTTACTAAGTTTTGGTTCTTCATGCAAGTCCAGAGAGAGACAGAGTAAATACATTCTTTTAAAGAGCTTAGTTGTGGCAAAATCTAAAAATTTTCTGCATTTTCAAGCAAATTTTCTTTCTCCAAATATTTTAACTCATATAACCATTTTAACTCATATTATAACTCATATAATCATTTGGGCACTTAGCAAAAGTAATAATTTTGGTAGAAGGGAAAAGTTTTAAAATCTGAAAAGAATGATTATCGGTGGATATGTGTTGTGTGTGTGTTTGTGTGTGTGTGTATGTGTGTGTGTTTAATTCCAGATAATGTAGATACTGTCACGAATTTGGTGATTATATTTCCATCTTCACATTATATTTCTGTACTTCAAGTCTTCGACTCGAAAGGTTTTATTTGAACATCATGGCAACATATAATAAAACAGGGAAATTAACATAAAGTCACACAGTGGTTTCCTTGGGAGCAGTTTGAGATATACAGGTTTTGTTTTGTTTTTGTCCTTCATATGAACTCCTGAGATATCTTTAGTCCATCAGAAAGAAAAAGAAAACTATTTAAATTTGTGAGAACTACTATCAGAAAGAAAAGCAAATGATTTGACTGCAGAAATATTTCATCTAGAGATTATCATTTCTTTATCTTATCTGGTCCCTCACACACACAAACATGTGCATAAAATTTCTATATTGACATTACTTTTCCTCTTTTAAATTGGCCTGATGTATTTCTTTTATCAGTGACTTATAAAAGAAAGCTTTGATTTAGAAATTATTGTAGGCACTTAAAAATTCATTTATTTATTGTAAAGTTCTCAAATAATCTTCCTTTATCTGGGATATTCTGCATAAGTAAATAAAGTGAGACCAACAGGGCTAAATGCCAAGAGAAACCAGTCATTAGACAAGCCCAGAGAAGTTGCCAAACCTTCTACACTATTAGACAGAAGTGAAGAGAAAGGCTGAAATGGTAATGCAAACACTGAATTCTAATTTCATGCTTTTTTCAAGACTCAAAGATTTTATTGTCATTAGGGAGAATTTAGGATAAACTGCATAATAAAATACTTGTTTGGAAGTCAAAAGGCTTAAATTCAGGTCTGAGAGAACTTAAGGTGGATTTGTAGATTAATCAGTGTACTTAATCTAATCTATATGAATTTTCTTTGTAAACTCACTCATTTTCTACATTTTACTTCTCTGTATTTGTGGACTAAAAACCCTCTCCTTTTAGCTATTATAGGACATGAATTCAGTGATATTAATGAAAGAATTTGTGGAATTTGAACTTCATAAAGAAATGTTATGATTATAGTCATCTTCACATTTTAAGAAGTTCTTGCAGATACTAATAGGGCCTCACAATAGAAGCAAAAAAAGAATTTGAAAATTGTGACAAAGTACTGGTTGATTTTAAAGCAAATTAAGGAGTTGTTTTGGACAAAAGCTATGCATCTATCAGAAGAATACATTACTCCAAGCATGGGATTGACTTGAAGATAGTGTATTAAATTTAAATATTAATCGAAGTGGTGCCAATCCTTCTTTTGACTATAGGGAATTCAGGGTGAAGTGAATAAGAAAGGTGATTATACTGAATAGTGTTGCATAGAAAACATCATGGCTTCCATATCTCTTGATAATTGGATATCTCTTTCCTTCTCATTCTCCAAGGAGATAGAGATTTCGAACATGACTCTTCCTCTGTCATTCTACCAATAAGAATAATAAAAATAACAATAATAACACAATATAGTTGAGCCACTAGCAGACGTGGATGAATCACAAAGGTTAACAGAGAGCCGTAACATTATGGAAACACGGCCAACAATTTTCAAAGTATGCTAGGTGATAACGAAACCTATGATTCGAAAAACTTCAATCATTCTAAAAGCTTAGTAACACGGACCTAAAAGTTAAGAAGCTGCCATCCTAACATAAATGATGTGGGACAAGGCAATAGTCTGAAAGAACTGTTTTCTTACATATACTTGTTATGGGTTATTGTCAGTTGTTTAGACCAGAGGAACAGAAGACTGAGATTAAAATCCTGTGTACTAACTGTCACTTCATGTTATATAGGTGCTTCTCAATCTCTCTCAACAAGAACTGCATTATCTCTGAAGATCTTACTTTAAAAGCCTCCTCTTTCTGTTACTAAACATATCTCATCTAGGAAAAACAATGTAACTAGTTTCAAAGATGTAGTTTCCAATGTAGTAAAAACCAAGTAAAGAGTACTCCTTTCCAAATTTTATTTTAAAGTTATTTTCATTAGATATGGAATATTACAAAACAGTAAAGTAAAGAAAGACTGCTCTAAAGTGAAGATACAAAACATCATAGTCAAGACTATTATAATGGAACATATTTTAGAAGCCAAAGCTTCAAAGCCATTGGACGGTGCTAGTTTTCACCTTTGGCATACCTTGGCAAACACAAAGATGCCAAGTCCAGAAATATGACTCTTCTCACCCAAATTTGCCACTAGGCAATTCCTTAGTAATGCTTTTTAGCCAGAGATTTTACTGATGCCATAGGATGAAAAGTATGAATACCAATAAGCCCATCATTGATAATACCATCAAGTCATATTGCTTTCAACTACTGGGGACAATTTCTTCATTAAATCCCAATTCTTCTTCTGGACTAAGTCTTTTTCATAACCAATGAACCAGTAAATAAAGCCTCACATTGTTTAGAAAACTATGCTTGTCATGGAGCCTGCATTTGTCAGACTATACCCCCAGAGAATCCCATTGATCAGGCCTTGTCAGCTTGCATTACTCAGGCTCAATAATACCGCCTCACAGGCTTCAGCTCTGCATCCCGCCTGGAGCTCCCTGATAGACTGTTCCTTCTTGCACAGATTCCTAAAGGGCCCTTTGAGAAATGCTTTATTGAGGACTCTGGTGAAGAAAACAGCACCTTAATGAAAGACATGTACGAGAGCATAATTAACTACTATCCAGCGCATTGCTGTTGCCATCAGTAATTTTAACCGTTTGTCACTTATGAGGATGACAAGGAAGCTTTTTTTAACTGAAAACATAGGTGGTAGGAGAAACTATTAAAGTAAAATTAAAGGATGGAGTTTGTTTCAAAAGCAGTTTTAATAGAAAGGTGTTTCTATCTTCTTTACTTAAACAAGCCCCAATCCTTGATCTCTCAGTTGGTTTAGTTAGATTAAGGAAAACAGCCTCAGGAGAACAGATAGCAAAGATGGAACAAGGCCAGAGATTGTCAGGAAAACCATTTAGCACAAGAAGTAAATGTTTGTTTTAATTGTGACAAATGTTGTTAGCAGAGGATCAAGATGTGGTATATTTAAGCTCTTTGTCATTGCAAAAATCCTAAACACAGAACTAGAGTGAAGGATCACTTAAGTCATGGGAATGCATCCTGGAATTAAAACCGACAGAAATGAAAAGCAGAGATTGATGACAAATAAGCTCTCTTACAAGGTTCTCCCTGTTCTTTTCCAAAGTTCCTAACTCTGGCTTCTTTGAGAGAATTAAAATAAATGAAAAGATGAAAAGAGTGCTTATTTATACCTGCTTTAAAATGCAAAGCACACGTACACACACACTCCTCATTCAGCCTTATTCTACTATTATATGCAGCTGCTGCTCTGCTTCTAATTGCCTTTGCAGAGCAACAAAAGAAGTAAATGACTTTGTTTTAGTTAAGTTGCAAATCAGATTCCTCCCAGCTATGGTGGCATCTGTGGGCTTAGGACCCCTTTAGAATGACAGTGTCCAATTACTGACAAACATTGCTCTTCTCCCAAAGGAAAACAGAAGTCAGGGGATCTGTGAGGCAGCACATGGCCAACAATTTGGGGGTTTGGTTACCTTTTGACATCACAATATTTATTTAGTGCTAATAGTGGTAAAATATGTTCCTACTCAGATGGAATTATAAATGTACAGGTTTTAAAAAGCCAGTGCAAATGCTACATGAAAGGGATGTGTCCAGTTAAGTTCCTTAAACAAATTTATAGTTATTTGGAAAGCCCTATTGTCAAGATGTTCTTTGATATTTATGGAAGAATCACACATTTTACCCTGATTTTCAGGATCTCATCTTTTCCCCACTAAATACACAGCTCACTGAATGTTTATGCCAGTCCATAATTGCATATTAAAAATTCTGAAATCCAAGAGCTTCAAAATCTTTAAATTTATTTTAGTGTATTTTGATGGTAAAATCTGACTAACTTGAACTTAATTAAGCATTGAAACATCACCTTAACTTATAAAAGACATGCATATTCTTCATTTATCTGCTTAGTATTAATATTTATATTTTGTATTCCATTATCTTTAGTTATAGGGCAGTATCCTAGGCTTAGAAGGGGTATTATGTAATATACACTATATTCCCTGTATTGCCTTTGTCAGATTGGAAGACTACTTAAAGCTGAAGTATCTGTCTCCAAGGAATTTATTTGACTGTGAAACTGTACTCTCATTCTACCACCTGATCCTGATTTTTCTTATAATTATGTTGTTTAGCTTGGAAGTTTCAAGATAGCAACTTATCTTGTTGTTTTTTTTTTCTGTAAAAAACACAGACCACTTCTGCTTCATTATTTCTTTTCCATTCTTTCTTGAGGCTCCCCGACCTAGAGAAGCCTCAGGCTAACCCTAAAAGTATTAAATAAAGACAATTCTAAAATCTTAACTATAAACAATCTAAAATAAGTAAGTTATAATAAGCTTAATTTTACTTAAAATGTACTTATTCATGTACATTTATCTCTAAAAAGTTATTTTAGATTGAATCATTTGACTCACAATAATATTTGAAAAACATGTAACATTTGAATTATCATTAAAATAATAAAGCAGATAGTTACGTGTTATATCCCCTCCATATGTATCAAAAGTTTCTGTCCAGATTTAACAGATAAGAAATAGCTTGGAAGTTATGAGGAGATACTAATTGAGAGTAAATAGGGTTTAGGAAACTTAAAGTTTGACCCTTCTAAAATTATAAAGAATATTCTTTTATATGAAACTTTCCATTGTGGTTTTTAGGAGTGTTGAATCATAGATTCCTAGTATTAGTAGCCTTTTTTAAAATCTACTTTTCATGAGAAGTAGCCTCTGGACAACATCCTGACAAGTGATCATCCAGTATCTCCATCATGGGATAAACTGTGTCCCAAAATTTGTATGTTGAAGTCCTAATGCCTCTCCCCATTTTGGAGTTCAGGCACAACAGACTAGCATTAACATTAAAATAGAGATCCTAAGACTGACAGAACAGATTCTGTAGCAATAAGATACGAACTCCAACGTGACTCTGATATAACATCAAATGACAGATAACAAGCCCTAAAAGGAAATAAAAATATTTTACCCCAAGATATATTTCTTTGACATGTTGTGAAATAGCAGGGCAAAGCTGTCTCTTATAGGGACATTTTTCATTCTGTAGAGAATCTCCTTCCCTTACTAGGTCTTTCCTAAAGTATAACAACTTCCCTAGCAGACATTCGCATCTATTCTCTATGAAGCCTGCTACCAGGAGGCTTCATCTACATGACAAGAACCTTGGCTTGCACAGTCCCCACCACCACCACCCTTACTGTAACTCAAGCTGATTTCACCTTTTCAGGAAAAGTTCAATGTTTTCAACAAATTACCAGTCAGGAAACCTTGAAATCCACTTGGAAGCACACTCCTTCCCCTGCTCCACCCTTTGCCTTTTTGGGCCAAACCGATGTATAGCTTACATGTATTAATTTATGTCTTTGCTTGTAACTTACATATCCCTAAAATGTATATAATCAAGCTGTAACCCAACCACCTCAAACACTTGTTCTTAGGACCACCTGAGGTTCATAGGTCATCATCTTTCTATTAGCCCGTTCTCACACTGCTATGAAGAAATACCCGAGACTGGGCAATTTATAAAGAAAAGAGGTTTAATTGACTCACAGTTCCTCATGGCTTGGGAGGCTTCAGGAAACTTAAAATCATGACAGAAAGCACCTCTTCACAGGGTGGCAGGAGAGAGAAATGAATACAAACAGGGAAATATCCTCTTATAAAACCATCTTGTGAGAACTCACTCACTATCATGGGAACAGCATGGGGCAGCAGCCCCCATGATCTGATCAGCTCCCATGAGGTCCCACCTCCAACATGTAGGGATTACAATTCAGATTACAATTCAAGATGAGATTTAGCTGGGGACACAGAGCCAGTCCACATCAATTTTTAACCTTTGCAAAATAAACTTCTAAATTGGTCGAGATCTGTCTCAGATACTGTTTGGTATATACTTCACAGGCATACTTAGATTATTATTAAATTGAATAACTGGGGACTATAGCCTAGCCAAGTTTGCACCTAAAGTTGACCATCATGACCATGTAATATAACAGAATCATGGGGTAATATTAAGACACAAAGCTCATAAGGGCCATCTATGAATAATGCCTACCATACCACTGAAATTCCTAAAGCCACAGAGGAAATAAACCACTTTACAGAAACCCTCTCATACGTCAGAACACTTTAGATTTCCTAGAGTACAAAGAATCCCACTAAGGATTAGCTCACATTAAAAAATTATATAATAAAAGAGGAAACTACCCACTATGAAGGAAAGTTTGTGAAAGCAACAGAGAGGGAGACTAGCACCCAAGAATTGGAAATAATAATTTATAAACTAAATGATAATATTAATACCCAAGTGGTAAATGATTAAGAAGATTTAAAAAATAGAAATCACAATGGAAACACTAAGGGTATAAAAGAAGGGTAGGTAGTTTTAAGTTAGGAACAAAGTCAACATTAAGAAATACAGCCCCTGAAATTATAAGTAATTACAAAGACAGTAAGTACATTTTATAGACTGTTAGATGGTAAATTCCGTTAAGACAATAAGCCAGGAAAAGATGAACTTGAAAAAAAAATCATACAAAATGTAACTCAGAAGTTAAGTTAGAGGTGACCTGAAAAGAAGTTTTGAGTCAAAATGATAGATTCAGTAACATATGTCTAATACAGTTCCGTAATAAAGTCAAAGAGTGAGAGGCAATATTCAACAAAATAAAGGCCCAGATTTTTTTGAGTTTAAGAAATATAGATCATTAATCACATAGAAATCTTTAAAATAATTCAAAAAAATTACAGGATACTGCAATGGCCTGAATAGTTGCATCTCCTAAAATTTATACATTGAAACATAATCCCTAATATAATAGTATTAGAAGCTGAGGTCTTTCAAAGGTGATTAAGTCATGCGGGCTTTGCTTTCATGAATGAGATTAGTACCTTCACAAAAGAGACTCCAGAGAGCTGTCTAGCCCCTTCACCCTGTGAAGATGCAGCAAGAAGGAACCACCTATGAGGAATGTGCCCTTGCCAAACACTATGTCTGCCAGCAGCTTGATCCTGGACTTCCCAGCCTCTGGAACAGTGAGAAATAAATTTCTGTTGTTTATAAGCTACCCAGTCTATGGTGATTTGTGATAGCAGCCTGAGAAGACTAAGACAGCTATATACAAAAATAATAATTTGGCTAAAAGTAAAAGTTTCCAGAGAAGGATAAAATAATATCTGGTGCCAAGGTAAACTTTGAACTCCACTCATTTCTGTGGACTCAATCAAGAAGTTAAATGATGCTTTTAGTCAAAGACTCTGAGAGTTTACTATTTAATAAATAGACTTTATTAGCAAGGAACCTGTCATAAAAACACAGTAGGATGCAAGAAGAAATGAGCAAAGAAACTGATGAAGACGTTTATAAATTTAAACAAGCACTGACTGGCACTCGTACTACTTATACTGCCACTAACACTATTAATAATACTAATAATAACCAATTGGGAAGAGGTAATGATTACTAACAAGCTGAAACTAAAATCTTAAAAAATAAATATTAGGAAATATGGGAAGATAGAGCAGTACACAAAATTTCAAATTAATTGTATCAACAGGAATACATCATATCATGTTGAATGAAAAAATGTTGAAGTAATGTAAAGTAATGTTGAATAAGGAAAGCAAGATGCAGAAGAATACGCCTGGTATTATACCATGCCTTTTTATTTTAAAATACAAAAACTATACAAAATATTGCTTTGAATGTGTACATACATGATACAATTATTTTTAATGGTTGGGAAGGTACATGCCAACCTTAGGGCACTCAGTTTGTTTGAAAAGGGTGCGAAAGAAATGAAAACAGGGAAGGGGTACAAAAGTGTCTTCAGCTGTTAGCAGTAGTATTTTATGTCCTAAAAAATTAAAATAATTAAAATGTGTAAAACAAACATTGCAAAATACTAACAATTTTTAAATATTGTTCTCTGTTATGCTATATTGTATAATATCTTGTGTATTTGAAAGAATTATTTCTTAAAAATAAAGAAAAATACATTGAGCATCAATAAATAAGATGAATTGGAAGTGCTCCAAGAAGTAAAATCAGGAGACAGTTACAATTCTATTGCAGTAATCCATGCAAGATGATCTATGACATGTCCCCAAAAAGGGAAAACAAATGAGACTTTTCAAATGTAGAATCAGTATGACTTGATAATTTTGTATGAGTAGCAGACAAGAAGGTCAAATAAAGAATGAGTCTGAGTTTGTAATCCTGGGAAATTAAGTGAATGTTAGTGCTTTCAACTTACTGAGAAACAGAAAGCTGTAAAGTCTTGATGGAATTGTCCAAAAAGTATCTGGAAATATGAATCTGGGGTGCAGACAGTTTGGAGTCAAATGAATGAATGGATGGATGGATAAATGAATGGATGGATGGACTGATAAATACTTGTATACCTATTCATCCATTCTCCCTTTATTCTTTCCAGTCTTCTTTCTTTAGTTTCTAATAAATCAAATGGCATAACTTGTTGCCTTTAAAATTTTATTTGCTTCATTTTATATTACTTTAAATTATTTAATATGTTTTATTTTTCTTTTGAATTTAATTCTTTTCCTTACACACTCTGCTTGCATTTCTTCCTGAAGCTTTTAAAACATAAACAAGGAATCATGAAAGGAGCTATAGATGATTATAAAGAGCAGAAATATGGACCTTATAATCAGAAAAGAAACCTATGCCCACAAATAACTGAACATTTCATAATTTAACTCAATCAACTTTCCTTCAAGCTAGAATTTTCATTTGAAGTTATTACTTTTCCCTCTCTGCTGTCTCCAATTATAGCAAACTTTCACCAGTTGGTAATTCAAAGAAATATTCTCTAACAAGGAATCTTTGCTTACCATATGAGCGTTCTCTAGATTATAGTCTGCTGATAGAAATTGATATAAACTGTTGGAGAGTAGATCGCCTTTGAAATAGTTAATTTGAAAATTCATTAAAAATAATTTTGAAATGCTCACACTATAGCTTTAAAGATCTTTAAAAATCAAAACTCTTTTCTTTGCATGTAATTTTATTAATTTGCCTCCTCTTTAGAATGGCATTTCTCTAATCTTTGACTATTTGATGTCCTTGAACCCAAGTCTTTGAGTACTTTTAATTCCTCTTTGATGTCTTTTCCAATTCCTCAGGAAGAACTCCACCAAAGTTTTCCACATGCTGAATAGTGAACAGTAAATAACCACACACTTCTGGAAATGAACTTGATACTTGTCATCACTAACTGTCTCTATTAGTTCTTAAAGTAGGAATTGTGGTTAGTAAAATTCCTCTGTAGCAACAGTGGGATGTTTAAAAGATGCTAGTCACAGAACTACAAACTTTCTGAGCTAGAAATATAGTTAAGATTTTTACTTTATAATAATACAGTTTTTTTCAAATAAAGAAAGAAGTCGATAGAATCAAATATATTTTTTTCTGAAAGGAATTGATGAAGAGACATTAATGGAGAAACGACCAATAATAATATATTAGGATAAAAAGTCATTCTACCTAGAACTTAGGCAAAGCTGCTGAACACAAACATGTGAATTGTTTCACATTGCAATCTTTCATTCATTCAAAGCAATGACAGAGCACTAACCTCATGTTAGGACCTATACCAGACCCAATACTTTGATGGCAGAAAATTCTTCCCAGCAAAGTTGCAGCAGATGGCAAAATATGTCGAGTAGACCCATCTTTTCTGCTCCCTCAAGTTTCGTTTATTCAAACACTGTCTTGCAGGATTATAGTTAAATTACACTTGTGAAAAATTATCTCATTCTTTTCATTGAATAATTTATTAATATTAAAAATTCCTCACCATCAGTCAGCCAGAAGCAATTGCCCCTCCCCATGGTGGGGGGGTGGAGAGTGTCCCAGAAATGTAGGGACCATTGCTGTTTCAGTCCACTTTACACTGACTTCCAGGATGTGTCCCAATAGCTCCTCTATACCAACCTCTGTTGCTTCTTTTATTTAGGCTACCAGGGAGTTTCAAGGAGGATGACTGAGAACGGTAGTGGAGACCTTGAACATTTAAGTCAAAGGCAGCATTCCTATTCTAGTGTCACAGTGTCATATTTCTCTTGAGGGCCCAGTAGTAGCATTAAGGGTTTAGGCCTTCCCTTGTTCCAGCATTAGCTTTCAAGTCTCACTATATTACCACCACAACACATTCCACTATCAAATCTCAAGTGGATTCTTCTTTAAGTATTCAAATATGTTAGATTTGTCTCAGAATATTTATCATAATTTATAACTATATATTCCCATAGCTATTTAATTAATGTCTTTCTGTTCATAAACTATAAGCTCCATGAGGTGAGGGAGCATGTCTGTTTTCTCACCACTATATTTTCAGAGTTATCAAATAGCTGGAAGAAAATACATTCTATTTAGAATCTGCGGAATAAACTATGATGATTGAAATATTGCAGGCTATTAAGTAGATGGAAAGCTTAACAAAGATGTAATATCATATTTATCTTTCAGCCTCTTACTGTCTCTAGCCTAGCATCTTGCATAAAATAGGCACTCAATATATTTTAAATTGAAACGAAGAGAAAAAAAGCCATGATTAAGCCAGCTACTTGAGAATTTTTTCAGGATTTCCTCTGTGTGACAGGGTTATGGTCACCAGAAGCTCTGGAATCACATCATGGTTTAAAGGCAAAGAAAAAGCTTTCCTTAGTGTTCATATAAAATGCCAGATAATCACTCCAATTTGTGTAACTTGGGTCGTATGACTTTCTCTGAAGCAAATTCTGTGGTCAGGAGGATGAAGTGTTGGGATTGGTTGGTTAAATCCCCACTATGATTGGTAACACAAAGAAAATCAAATGGAGTGAGAAATAGTTGATTCCTATGGAAGCTGGGTTGTTGTTACCCAAAGAAAACAGAATGTGAAATATTCACCATCACTGCCATCATCAACAACAACCAGCACTCACTGCAGTGTGTATGGGTATACAGTAAGTTGAAAAGCTGAGAGTGTGGTGAGAAGGTGAAACATTTCCATTAACTATTTGTAATCTGAAAGGCTATACTTAATTAGCAAGCAAATTACTTCTAAATTTATTAAGGAGACAACATTTTTTATGCAAAATTAGTCTCAGGCAAACTTCACTGTTAATGTTTAAAACAAAAACTAAACATAACTGCTGTTTGGGCTGAAGGTTGTGACTCTTTTATTATGAGTGGTGATAAGAAACTTGCTTCTGCTTTGACTTCAAAACTTTTTTTTTTTTTTTTTTACTTTAGAGTCTTAAGAAATATTGAGTTTCCCTAAAAACATTCCCTAAAAACTTAAACAAAACTATTGTGGATTTTTAAAAGCCACTTTAAATAAAAGTGCTGACTTTTTTCTTTTCTAAATAGAAACCTTATGTTATGCATGGTGATGAATGTAGGTTTACAGTAATTCCTTTTAGTAGGACTACCCAGGGAATCAGATTAAAAAAAAAAAAAAAAAGGTTACTCTTTTGCAAAAACTAAATAGAAGACCAAGCATCAAAGTTTGGAATTATGTTTGAAATGATTTTTAAATGGATTGAATATTGGTTTAATTAAGGTTCTCCCTCTGTGAACATGAAGTTCCTCATATTTTTCCTATTCGCTTCACCTCTTCACCTAAAGAAAATTTAGCTTTTTAATCCTAAGAAATAGAGATTTGCTAATCTTTCCAATTGCTGTTGCATTTCTCACTGCACATAAAAGCTTTTGCTGCAAAGTGAAATATACTTTCTTCTCTGTTTTAATTCATTCAATTCCCTTCTCAAAACTTTATTATTTGTGGCTGGGTGCAGTGGCTCATGCCTGTAATCCCAGCACTTTGGGAGGCCGAGGTGGGTGGGTCACGAGGTCAGGAGTTCAAGACCAGCCTGGCCAGCATGGTGAAATCCCATCTCCACTAAAAATACAAAAATTAGCTGGGCATGGTAGTGCGTACCTGTAGTCCCAGCTACTCAGAAGGCTGAGGCAGGAGAATCACTTGAACCCGGGAGATGGAGGTTGCAGTGAGCCAAGATCGTGCCACTGCACTCCAGCCTGGGCAACAGAGTGAGACTCCATCTCAAAAAAAAAAAAAAAAAAAGGAAAAAAGAAAACAAACAAAAAACTTTATTTATTTGTTTACCTAACTTATCCATAGCTCCTTTAGATGGCTGTTAACGTTGCACTTTTTCAATTTTTAGTTTTAGAACTGCCATTCTACCTAATATTTATCCCCAATTTTCCCATAACCCTGGCCACTCTGGACATTCCATTATGCCTCAGTTTCCGGAGAGATGTGTCTCCAGGTGACCTGAATATGTTCCTTTTCTCTTCTGCTGATTACTGACAACTGACAACCTTCCCCAGAAAAAACTCGGTGTCTGTCTTCCTCTTTTCATTTCCTTTCAAATTCCACCTGGCATCAAATTCACATCTAATCACTTTTAGCTCAGTGTCTTCTTTCGACACTCTAATTAATTCTCTTCTTGACCCAGAGTTAACATTGTTCAAAGAATGTCTCCAAGTGGTTAGGCTATAGTGTCAAATTCTGATATAAAAAGAAATGTATTTATAGAATAATTTTTATTCTAAGACTTTGTCATTTCTACTGGATTTCTGAAGCAAACAACTAGAGAATGATTTTTTGACTACAGCCCCAGTTATACTGATGAACTACTAATTATTTGAGTGATTTTGGACATGTTCTCTCTCTTTCATTATAAAATGAAAGTAGTAAATCAACTAATCTATAAGTTCTCTTGAAGTCCCAAAAGTCAAGGTATTAGGGTAATTAACACTAAGTATCATAGCAAATAACCTCAAGATTTTAATAGCTTTACACAATAAAAGTTTATTTCTTGCTCACATCCCAGCACAGTCCCAGTCAGGTAGCTTTCCTGGTTGAAGCTATTCTAAGCAAAAACCCGGGAATCCAGGATCCAGGATTATTTACCTGATTTGTTGGTAAAGTTAGTTCATGTTTCTTCTGCCTGAATGTGTAATATTTCATAGCTCGTTATCATCTCTACCAGTCAGTGAGAGGCGATATTTTCAGTGGTTTTAATTAAGACATTAAGACAATAACATAGCAATTATTGCCTGAAATAAGATTTGGGTCTTATATCTGTACAGACGAAAATTTTCAATGCATAACCAGTAAGCATTGTTAAAAGCACCTAATAGTGAACCATTGCAAGTTCATATTTCCAAGATAATTATTTCTAAAAGCCAAAACTCTCCATATTAAATTGTATGAGGTTCATCCAATAACTCAACGCTCTGTGCTGTTTCCTCATTTATTAAATATTCAGGTTATTTCTTTGGTCTCTTTATCTAAAATTGTTGCTTTATATTATTTAGGAAGGGATCCTCATATTTTATAAGTATCTCCCTAATTATAGCCAAAGATGTTTTCCTCCTAAAAATAAATATATACCTGTATAACAGGTTGAACAGTGTCCTCCCAAAACTTATGTCCATCCAGAATCTCAGAATGTGACCTTATTTGGTAATAGGGTCTTTACAGATGTAATTAAATCAAGATGAGGTCATATTAGATTAGGATGGAACTTAAATCCAGTGAATGGTATTCTTATATGAGGAGAGGACACACAGAAAAACAGAGAGGAGTCCATGTGAAGATGAACGCAGAGATTGGAGTGAAGCAGCTGCAAGCTAATGAACCCCAGTAATTGTCAGGAGCCACCAAAAGCTAAGAATAGGGAGGGAAAATTTTTCTCTGGGTATTCAGAGAGACCATGGCACTGCCGACACCTTGACTTCAGATTTCTAGTCTCCAGAACAATGAGAGAATAAATTTCTGTGTAAGTCACCAGTTTGTGGCACTTTTTATGGAAGTCTTAGAAAATGAATACAATCACTTTTAATTATGTTTTAACTGTTATAATTACTTTTTCAACTTGACCATCCTCACTAGAACTGTAAGTTCTCCAAGTAACACCTTGTTCTGTAATGTATCCTTGGTACATGACCCAGAATCTGGCAAACAGGAGACAATTACTGCTCATTGAATTAAACAAATGAATAAATAATTCATACTATTCTGGTCCCATTATGCTGTGGATAACTAAAGTTTTTCAATAAAACAAGGAAAAGTCCTATTAAGATCCTCAATCAGCAGTTGTCAGATATCATCCTTACTAAGTTTTGCAGTCTTCTTTATACATAAGATAGGAATAAGAGTTTTTTGACCATCATAGTTTTTTAAAATACAGATGCTTGTATCACTCTTTTAGTGTACTCCTCTCTTGCTATGTCTGCAGCGGGTTAAGTGCATGTGGAAATTCTACAGGAGACTATGAAAAGGCATCTTGGAAGTGAGATTTCAGGAACAACATGGACAGTGGCAGCAAGAAGCAACCCATGCCCATGTTTATTCTGAGTTTTTCAAAGTCTTGCTTTGTCTCTGATGGCGAAACTTAGTCCATCGCACCATTTGTTTCAACCCAGTACAAACTGCCATGTAATTCTGAAGAAGAAATTAGCCAGTCTGAAGGTTCTATAACTGCATCATTACTACTGCAGCTACAGAAAACACTCTTAAATAAAGTCCTGCTGCTATATAGTATGAGACTAGTAAAGAGTGAGGTTCATGTCCAGGCTGACGTGCAGGTGCGATCTCGGCTCACTGCTACCTCTGCCTCTTGAGTTCAAACAATTCTCGTGCCTCAGCCTCCCGAGTAGCTGGAATTACAGGCAAGTGCCACCATGCCCAGCTAATTTTTTTGTATTTTAAGTACAGACAGGGTTTTGCCATGTTGCCCAGGCTAGTCTCGAGCTCCTCAGCTCAGGCAATCTGCCTGCCTTGGGCTCCCAAAATGCTAGGATTGCAAGCATGTAGCCTCCTCAAGTAAGAGACCTTTATCAGACAGGTAGTTAAGAAAGTAGCAATTCCAAGCATAAATTAGTAGTCTACATCACACTTTCTTGTATGTAGCAAAGATTTGTAGAAACAATTATAATTAATTATAATTTACCACATTGTGTTTTTTGTATTGCTATTATACAAAATCTTGAATAATACTTGAATGCAATTTTCAGTCTTCTCTCAAGATTTCTCAAAAGGCCAATTAACTGTCAGCATTCTGTGACCTTGAGAGCTAAGAGTTTATCTCATCTCAGAATGTGAAATATATTTTCTACGTGTTACTAATGCTGTGCAGTGATCTTGGTTGTGCCTCTTCTTTCATTACATGAAAATTTACAATCACATTAGGAAGGGTAAATTGAAGTCACATCATAATCATCAACAAATGAAGAATATGATAGAATTAGTCTCACAAGAGGTGAAAAACTTAACTTTCAAAAATTTAATGTATGCTGATCAAGGCAGTTTTTCTAATTCTAATAACCAAAGACATAGAAAGAAACTCCTCCTCCCATAAAGGAAGACTGTGCCTGTTTTATAAAACATGGAGTTGAACTCAGGGCAACTACAGTATCCAAAGATACTTGTTAACTTTAAAAAGGCACTGAAAATAAATCCACTTTAAGTTATGACCAAAATTATATAGTAAATAGTTAAAAGGAGGATGGGGCAGTGCCTAAATGAAACATTATTGTACAAATAAATTAAAAACTATGAGGTTCAATTTTATTTCATAAACTATACCATAAAATTTTGCTTGTAACATAAAATGTGTAGTATTTCTTAGAGTGGAAACTGTACTGTAAGATATTGATTTTTCCCTTCCTGAAAAAGGAAATGTTGGGGGGAGGGGGTTAGTTTTTCTTAATTCCTTGCTATTCATGCTACAAGATTCATACAGTACATTTATATTATTATTATTTTTTTAAATTCCTGTTTTATTAAGATTGTTACTGAGACACCAGGGGTTTTGCTCACCACACAGAAAGCCAATCACTGAGACAATGAGTATTTCCGGGGAAGGAGGCTTTATGTGGATGCTACAGTCAAGGAGAATGGAAGATTAATCTCAAATCCATCTCTTCAAGTGACTAAACTTAAGGGTTTATAGAGCATGGAAGAAATGTAATTACATGTGGAAAAACAGAAATTAGGGAAGTGTACAAAAGAGGAGTTAGTCAATGGGTAGCAGGTGGTCTGTTAGGCAATCACGATGAATGGGGGGTCTTGCGTCTTATTGGCCAGATGCAGTGATCTGGTAAGTTTCAGTTCCTTGATACTGTCAGGAAACCTGACGGTTGGTTTCCTGAGAAAGGAACTTAGATAAGACACATGTAATTTTTTCAAGCTCTAAGACAAGGAAGGTAAATTTCTAGTTCCATTCAAGGAAAATCATAAATATAAGTTCTATGGGGAAATCAGGCCAATTTCAAGGTGAACTGTCAAATAAAAATTGTATATAATTAAAGTGTACAACATGGTGAATGCACAGCCAGTGAAGGAAAAGCAATAATATGTGATGGTTAATTTCAGGTGTCCACAGTGCCCAGATGTGTGGTCAAACATTATCCTGGATGTTTCTGTGTTTTTAGGTGAGATTAATATTTACTCAGTGAACTTTGAGTAAAGCATTGGGTGCTTCATTATGTGGAGGAGTCTCATCCAATCAGTTGAAGGTGACTGAATGGAACTATAGATCGACCTCACATAAATGAGAGGGAATTCTGCAACAGATCATCTTTGCCTTTGAACTGCAGCATGGACTCCCCTCTGGGTCTCCTGCCTGCCAGCCCACCCTGCAGAGTGCATTTGCCAGCCTCCACAATCAGGTGAGCCAATTCTTTAAAACAAATCTATTTCTATAGACACACATTCTATTGGTTCTGTTTATTTGCAGAACTCTGATTACTGCACAGTATAGATAAATAATTGAATAACTTAGGTAAAATATTATAGGTGCTATCATAGGAGTTTATTCAACAAACTGCTGAATATACTACATAAACAGAAAGAGAAAGAAAAGTCTTATGTTCCAGTCAATAGATAACAAAAAAAATGACTAAATTCAATAATTCAGAATAAAAATTCTGAGCAACTAAGAATAGAAGAAAATGGTATCCACAAAAAAACCTACTGTTAAGACCACATTTAATGGTGAAATATTGAACTCATTAACACTGAGAATATTTTCTCTGACAACTCATTGTCCATATTGCTGTAGAGGTTCAATCCAATGCAATGAGGCAGAAAAATATATATAAGCCATAAATGTAGGAAAGTGTCAAAATTATATATCTCTCAGAGAACATGATGATCTACATATATAAAAGAATCTACCAAGAAACTACATAAGTAATGAGTAGTATTTAAACATCACAGAATAAAATATCAAAATATAAAAATCAATAGTATTATTATAAGCTATTAATAAACTACAGATTTTTAAAAATGCATGTATTATATTATAGCATCAAACAACATTCCTAGAAGTAAATTTAACTAATTATGTATAAGACCTTTATACGGAAAATTACAAAACCTTTCTGAGCCAATTTTAGATAACCAAAATAAATGGAGAGAGGTATCATGTTCATAGAGAAGTAGCAAGTCTGAAGAATCAATATTATTATGATGTTAGTTTTTCCTTGATTTATTGAGGATAATGTGGGTAATGTAACTGGCTCAAAGTCACTTAGCTATAAGTGGTAAAAACTTTGTTCAATCCCAAAATTCTTCCTTTTTCCCTTTACACAAGGTAATTTATCCTGTGCATTAACAAGAGGAAGTCTAGAGCCATGGAAACCAAGTCAGGAAACTTCTCTCTTATTATTAGGTCCACTGCAAATCTAGTTGAGACTGCAAATCGAGGTAAATTAATCCCTTGTGTTTTCGTTAAGAGGAAAAAACTCTCAGCAAAAGTGAATCGAGATTGCATCTTCCTTGAGAAATGGAGAATAAATCCATATAGATAAATTATTTCGAGGAATCACCGGAAGGCAGCTTCCTCTTTTGTTCATTTTAGTACTGCAGTTGGCAAACTTCAGTGTGCATCAGCATCACCTGGAGGGCTGTGGTTAAACACCCATTGTTGGGCCCACCCTCAGAGTTCCTGATTCCAGAAATCTGGGTTAGGGGCCTGAGGCTTTGCATATCTAACAATTTGCCTGGTAATGATAAAGTTGCTGGTTCTACCACCACTCTTTGACACTGTCTTAAAATCGATAGAGCGAGAGCTCTTTAATTGTTCAAATGTAAATGCAGTAAGGCTTGGCTGATCTAATATTAATCTTTAACTAAAACCTCTATTCACTTTGCTTAGTATGTCAGGTTTTATTCATTAATCAAAAAGTCCTACTGCAAACCAAATAGAATAGAGCTTGAGTTACATCACAGCAGAGTTTAAGTTATCCATCTGGTGGTTTACTAGCCTCAAGGCTAGCACATACAACATTTATGTATTTTGGTCTTTCAGATTATATAATCATTAATTCAGTGGATGTGTGTTTTTCTTTTTATTATCTTAATTTAATTAATTAACTAATTTGTTTTTTACAGATAGGGTTTTTGTCACTCAGGCTAGAGCGCAGTGGTGGGATCATGGCTCACTGTAGCCTTAACCTCCTGGGTTCCAGCCATACTCTTCTCTTACCCTCCTGAGTAGCTAGGTGACAGGCACTCGCTACCATGCCTGGCTATTTTTCCGAGAAGGGGTTGTGCTATGTGGCCCAGGTTGGTCTCAAACTCCTGGCCTCAAGCAACTTTCCTGTGTCAGCCTTCCAAAGTGCTGAGATTATCGATGTGAGCCACCACACCCGGCCTTTTTCTTATCTTTAAGACAGCATTTTATATAAGATGCCACATTGTTGCATCATATCTGATCAAATTTAAGGAATAGAAGACAGAAACTTTATACAGATAATGTTGGTGTTTGTTTATTTTAGTATGTGATGAAGCTCACTTTAAGAGCTTACCCTGAGTAGCTGGGCGTGGTGGCTCACGCCTGTAATCTCAGCACTTTAGGAAGCCGAGGTGGGCGGATCACGAGGTCAGGAGATTGAGACCATCCTGGCTAACACGGTGAAACCCCGTCACTACTAAAAACACAAAAAATTAGCCAGGTGTGGTGGCACATGCCTGTAGTCCTGGCTACTCGGGGAGGCTGAGGCAGGAGAATGGCTTGAACACAGGAGGCAGAGCTTGCAGTGAGCCGAAATGGCACCACTGCACTCCAGCCTGGGCAACAGAGCAAAACTCTGTCAAAAAACAAACAAACAAAAACAAAACAAAACAAAAAAAAAACACCTTACCCTGAGTTGCTAATTTAGAGAAAGTGCTGTGAGCCGGGAAAGCATTCATAGAAGAGAGTAAATGTTTTAAACCATTGGACATATCATAAGACAGTTACCAGTAAATGTCTTTTAATATGTCATTACTTTTATGGCATTTTGCTTACTTCATAATTCGGCACTCACCATATTGCACTTCACCACTTCATCTCTCCCTACAAGCAACCACAAATTGTTCTCAGAAAATGCTGAATGGAAAAAATAAATGAGTTCAGATAATTAATTGCAATAATAATGAGAGCAGTGACAGTGTATGTGTTTACTACAGGCCAGGTGCTTTGTTCAATGTACCTCATAAGCAGTATCCCATTTATTTCACAAAACTCCTATAAAGCAGAGTTTCTCAACATCAGCACTATTGATACTTTAGGCTGAATAATTCTTTGTTGTGGGAACTGTCCTATGCATTGTAGGATGTCTAGCAGGATCCCTAACTTCTAGCCCCTAGGTGTGAGTAGCCTCCTCCTGGTAGTAACAACCACCATTGGTCCTGGTTCAGAACCACTAATATAAAGTGTATAGTACTTCATAGATGTGGTATTGGAAATTTACTTTGTCCAAGCTTTTACAACTCATTATATCAGAGCAAGGATTCAAATGCAGGCCCTCAAATTTGTTCCTTCTTGGTATGTTTACTAATAATGGGAGCCATGAATTTCTGTAGCCCAGAATAGGACAAACAGAGACAAATAGACAAATCATTTGAGAAAATATAGGTTTGGATCTTGTTTTTTGTTTTTTTGTTTTTGTTTTTGTTTTTTTTTTTAAAGCTATGGACCAAATTCTAGTTCCTACTTAGAGCAACTTTGGGTGCAAAATTAAGCTGTGATTAATTCCTTATAAGTCAGTCTTTTAAAATGAGTTTTGCCATATTTAAGCTTTAAATTGTAGGGTCTATGTTTTGTCTCAGTTTTTATTACACAAATCATAGGTCCTTGAGTATAACTTAGCATCTGTTCTATTGTTGTGCAAATGGAAACTTTTGGCTGTGACTCAAAACAGCTACTGTACAAAGCAGGATTCTAATTGGCATGGCTGTCTGGGTACAATGTGTCTGGTCACCAACTAACTTGCACTAGATTTATGTTATGGATTTTTATTTGCTTTGTTGCTCTAAGTAGGAACTAGAATTTGGTCCATAGCTTTAAAAAAAACAAAAACACAAAAATAAAATCTGAGGTCCAAACCTATATTTTCTCAAATGATTTGTACAACAAATAATACATGCATAAACTTCAAGTGAAATTGGGATGTATTGTGTATTTTAGGTCACCCATATGCCTATAGATAGATGATTAGATAAATAGATAGACAGACAGATAGAAATCTGCTGTGTAAATCGTGGAGCCTGCAGCACTTCTAAGAGTCAATCAGAAGCTCATGTTCTGGTTCTGAATGACAAGAGTTGGTGATTGCATCAGCTCCTTTGGGAAAAAGGACGATTTACTAATAAGGCAGTTGATAGTAGACAGACATGGGTTATATAGAGTCATTGACTCTAGAACAGGTTGAAGAGATATGAGGTTATAAACTATCTACATTAAGGTAATTATAGGTAGGAGAAAGGAAAGACCCATACTTTATATTTAGACTACGATACAGAGGCTAATGATATGCTGTTTTAACACAACACACACACACAATCACATGTTTAACTTATTGCTGTAGATCCCATAAAATGGAACCCATAAACTTTGTTGGAATTGAGTAACTGCAATAAAATGTACCCATATATAGTGTATCTTTTATATGCTTAAGAAAATATTTTCAAAGGCTTAGGACCTACATGAACAAAACTATAAAATCTCATTGAAGGATATAAAACAAATTCCTCAACATATGGAAAGACAGATTAGGTTTCTAGATGGGAAATGATGTAATAAAAATTATTAATGTTTTAAAATTAACATACCGATTTTATATTATTCAATTATAATATGAATCCCAACTATGAATTTTCAGAATTAAAAAAATTATCTTAACTCTTTGTATGCCAGTGTAGATTTCATAGACTGCCTACATACATATGATAAATAGTAAAAGTGGACAAAGCTATAGAAATATAAAATGCTAAGTATCTTATATAATTCTATAAAGTACTAATATCCAGTCATTCTTTTAACAGCATGACATAGATAAATAAATCCTTAGAAGAAAGACAGAATCTAGAAATCAATTCAGTATTATAATAGCAGATTTTATACTTGACAAAGTTGTCTTTCATTTCACTGAGAAAGGATGGATGGTTAACAAATAGCCCTGGCACGGTCAGCTATTTATTCATGTTTTGCATTATGTACAAAAAAAAAGCAGTTTCAGATGTATTAAAGTCATATTTGTAAAAAGTAAAACTAACATTTTTTTGCAGAAATCTAGGAGATTATATGCACATCTAGGGGCAAGTGTGACCTTCTTAACTAAGACTGAAAACCCAGAAACTATAAGAGATAAGGCATATAAATCTGTAGCAAAAGATAACACAGACAAAATCAAAAGACATAAAATAGGCTTTGAAAAAAATACATGCAATGGAGAATACAGACAGAAGATTGTTTCTATAATACACATAGGACACTGAAAATTTGTCAAGATGAGAATAGAAGCTCGACAGAAAAAAAGGCTAAAGAAGCAATTCACAGAGACTAGATGCTCAAACTGACAGCTAGTCACATAAATGCACTTTAAAGTAACAAAGAGATATCACATTACACTGCTGAGGCTGGCAACAGTTTAAAATGGTGATGACTTGACTGGAAAGTATAAAATCTAAAGTATTATAGACATTTTGGAATGCAATGTCCATTAAAATTAAAATGCATCTATTCTGTGACACAGAAAACCTTCTTCTTGTTAGTCCAAGCATAAAATAAAGCACAAATAAGTAGGAAAAAAAAGTACAGGATATGCATCTATCACAGTTTAATTCACTCTAGCCAAATAATGAATATGAAGCAAAAGGCCCTTCAATAGAGAAATGGTTAAAAATATGGTAAACTTATATCACAAACTACTCTTCAGCCATTAAAAAATGAAGTAAAACTATATCAGTGAACAATTGATTTAGTGTGATTTTTATGATTTATTGTTTAGTGAGAACAGAAATATATAGAATAGTGAGTATTAGGCAATCTCTTTTGGATAAAATAACAATGTAACAAAGGAGGAAATTTAGAAAAATGGAAACAAGGAGACATGTTAAAGTAAAAAAATGTTTTTAAATACAATAAAAATGCATGTATGCTTCATTCACACTTACAATTTATATAGTATATAAAATCTGGATTAAAGTCAAAATGCATTGAAATTGTTTGGGATTACTCTAATTTGAAACTTAGGTTTTTTAAGACTTTAAGCAGAAGCTGTTTTTTAACATTTCAAAAATATATGTATAATACATATTTTCTATAAAAAATAAAAATAAAAATTGCAGGTAAGAAAAAAAAATACCCCAGTCTTCCTGTTTGAGATTCTGTCAATTGGCTGTTTTCCTCCCATTCCCTAGAGCTCTGTTCACTGGCTTTCGTCTCCTTTCCTCAACACAGTTTAGTCACCACCTCCGAGGAACTGTGTCCCGCATTGGCATTCCTTTGGCAGCTTCCACTTCTCTGTCCCCTTGAGCAAAGTACGTACCAGACATAGCCCAGCCTTAAACTAGAACACTTGAAAAAAAAAAAAAAAAAAAAACAGCACCTGACCCTGGGGAATTCCAGAAATTCAAAAATTCAAAAACCTGGCCTTTAACAATATATCCTCAGTGAGTGCTCTACTCAATATTGCAAAAGACATGAAATCATACACAACGTATATCTTTCCCAAAAGAAGCTTAAGATTTTATGGAGAAGCTAGACCTTATGTGTATTAAAATGAAATAGTCGTATTTCTGTCCTTGAATCCATATAATAATTCTTGAATTAATTGTAGGTTGAAGAGTTCAGGAGAAAGTTTATTCAAAAGAGCCCATAAAGCCAGGTAGAGGGAAATCTGAAAATCTGAAAAGGAAGTGCACTGAGGACTGAGTGTCTCTCGTGTTTGTATCTTTTCTAGTGTTCAGGCCTGTCTCAGTCCTATATAATTCAATAGGAAAGAAGGGCCAAGTCTGAGCTGGTAAAGTAATAAAAATTGATATTTCTGTTTAAAAGCCACGAATTGATACACAACTTAGGCTTCATGGCTAGAGGCATACTTTACCTTTAGCTAATTAAAAGGAGACTCCAGCTTATAGAGGAAGCCAATATACTGCCTCCAAATAGCCAGTTCTTGATCTGGATATGTTTCTAAAATAATCAACGCATTTAGGTCTTTCTCACAAAAAATATTTTCCCCACTACTTTGGGCAGGAGACAGGCATGGGGTTGGGGAAGGAGGATGAAACAGAAGCTGAAGTTCCTTCCAGATGCCCAGGTCAATCCATGGATGGTAGAGAGGCCTAATGAGGGCAGGGGCCTTGGAGACCCATCTGGGAAGTATAAGCCACACTTGCAAAGAGACGTTATTTGATGTGCAACTGACAGGGTAAAAAAGCTTAAAGGAACAAGAGTAAGTGCACAGACACTTGCAGTGCTCAGACAAACCTTGCAGTGCTCTGGGCTTCTGTCCTGGCCCCTGAGTAACATTAATTAATTGTCACTGTCTATGACACTATAGTAACTTTGGAGTGGAGGAGATTGCTTCTAAAAGCATAGTCTACTGCTAAATTGTTTTTTAAGTCAAAGAGATATAAATAAGCTTGTTTGTTGTTTTGTTGTTTGCTTGCTTGTTTATTCTTTGTTACTCTTCCAAGGTTTTTCTCAGGGGAAGCCGAGCTCCAGACTATTCATTTGTCCTGAGGCAGCCACTTGAAACACAATCATTTTGTATTTCTACGATGTTTTGACCTTTTATCCAAGTCAGCCCTATAGAATGGGCCAGGAGGTTGCTGCCACTGAATAAGCCACTGTGATTTTTAGCGTCAAGAATTTTGCTGTTAACTATGGCAGAAAAATAGACAGAGGACAATAAAAATAACTAACATAGACTAATTGCAAAGAATCTTAATATGTTCTTACAGTCATCATTCTTTTATTACAGTTCCTGACTTCCTCATATAATGATAATTGAAAATCCCCTTGAACTTGGAGTCTTTGCTTAGTTCCTGAATCCGAAGTACAACACACTCCTCTCATCTTCCTAATCCTCATCCCACCCCAACCACTAGGCTAAATGGATGTGTAGTTCCTTTCCTTCACATAGGCTCTGTTTCCTAGTAAGTAGGTTCAAGTCCAATCTCAGCACAACAGATATAGAAAGCATCATTTCCTTTTCCTTCCAGGTCACCCCTGTGCCACCCACAGTCAATTTGCCATAAATAAGATATTGGCATTTCTGTAGACTTCCAGTCAATGTTTCACCTGTCACCATACTTCTAAATAGAGTTTTGTGTTTATAGTTGATAATAAATACTTTTAATTTAATCAATAAAGGAAGGTTAAATGCTATATAGGGTGTACTCAAGAGGAAGTGACACAGTATTACAGAATTGAAAACCTTGGAAGACCAGATCAATGAGCATGAAATAATTAAAAACAGTAAACTTATTCATTCCTTTATTTATTCATCTAGTTTGAGACTATAAATTGTACAGTGTATAATTACAGTTCTGAAAATATCTAAGAAAAAGTACTATAGGTATTGAAAAGAAACCAGTATGAGTAACAGCTCAGATAGTAAGAGACATAAGGCATTTCATAGGCGCTGACAGGTTAGTACTAAATCAGGAGATATTTTGTTAATGATACATACCAAGCAGTCAACTAAAATGTGGACGGGTCAGAAAAGAATTAATCCTAAGAAATTTGGAGATTAGCATCTCAGATTTCTCCTTGAAGTAACCTCATTATAATTTACTAAGGTGCTCTGCTGAGTCCATAGCTTTATCGTAGGATTCTCACTTACGTACGCAGACATAATGACTTATTTTGACTACATTGGACCTTACAGCCTGCATTTCTATAGCATAAGAAAATAAGTCCTCTAACAAAATAGGGGCATTTCCTCAATAACAGCCCCAGAATTAGGGTGAATGGGTTCCTTAATTTGGAGGTGATTTGATGGAGTATTAGTTATTTTTCTACATAAGAAAGATGTACTATGACAGGGTAGGCTCTGTTGTCTTAGTGAAGGCTGAGTAGGATTATTTGAACATAATATCCTTTTTTTTTGAGATGGAGTCTTGCTCTGTCACCCAGGCTGGAGTGCAGTGGCGCGATCTCACCTCACTGAAACCTCTGCCTCCCGGGTTCAAGCAATTCTCCTGCTTCAGCCTCCCGAGTAGCTGGGAGTACAGGCACACGCCACCATGCCCAGCTAATTTTTTTTTTTTTTTCAATTAGAGACGGGGTTTCACCATATTGACCAGGCTGGTCTCGAACTCCTGACTCCGTGATCTGCCCACCTTGGCCTTCCAAAGTGTTGGGATTACAGGCATGAGCCACAGCGCCCAGTGGAACCTAATGTTCTTAATAATGTTCAGCAGAGATAGAAAGTAATGAGTTGAAGAATTAGCTAAAACCTGTCTATGGTGGTTTTAGATATGTCCACACATTCTTTGACTCTCTTCCCATTGAGAGGTAGGACCTATATGCACCCCATTTATACATCTGACAGGACATGTCTCTGTTTAAACTCAAAAAGTATGGCAGAATTTATGCCATGTAATTTTCACAGCTAGGTTAAAAAAAAGGACACACAGCTTCCATCTGTTTTTCTTGGAACATTCCCTGTTGGAACTCTGAGCTGTCATGTAAGAAATGCCACTACCCCAAAGCTGCTATGCTGTGAGCAATGGAAACCCAGGCCACATGAAGATGCCACGTTTAGGTACATTAAACAACAGCCCCCCACTAGGACTCCAGCCCATAACTGATTTCAACCACTGTGAAATTGTCTCCAGGCAATTCCAGCTCCCACCTCGTGAGTCATCTCCAGCCATGGAGTCCTCCTCGTTGATGCCGCAGACAACACAGACCACAGGCGAGGCATTCTTGCTGTCCCAAAGATGACCAAATTCCTGACCCAAAGATGCTGTAAACAAACAAACAAAAAATGTTTGTTCTGAACCCTAAAATTTTGGAGTAGTCTGTTAAGCAGAAGTAATAACTAGAGCAACCCTCTCTTCCTATCACCTTTTTTTTTTTTCCCATTGATGGCTAGTGAAGATAAAGACTTTGGTGGAAACATGACTTTTGGGAAATTATTTTGAGTGGAGGTGGTTAGAGGTAATGATCTTAGGAAGAAAATGAAGAGAAAGTTGGAAGTCCATGTTTTTGTCCTTTAGCACTATGTACTCTTGCCTTTTAGACTTCTCTTCACATTACTATCAGAGCAACTACTTTTCTCTGTATTATCTCTTTCCTTCTGCCTCTTGTCTTTGTCTCTCTGCTTGTCTCTTTCTTTCTCTGTCTGCTTCTGTCTTTCAAATGCATCATCCACTTTGCACCCCTAGTCACACCATTGCTGTGGTTCACTTTACATTTTCATTTTGTTAAGCTATTTCAGTGGAGTCTCTATGTCATAAAGTAACAAGTAACAGAGGTTTTTTTCTACTCAGTGAAAATCAAAAGCAAAGGAAATGCATCTACTTGACAGACCTGGAGCAGTTAATATCTATCTACTCATAAGGTGTCCACTGCTACAGAAGAAAAAGAAAAAAAAGTTCTTGCTTTCTGTCTAATTGTGGCATCCAGGATTAAATAGGAGTAAAGAGGGATTACTAAAAGCAAGGGGTGGGGAATGATTTTTATAATAAGAAATAAACTTGTGAGCAGTAAAGAGCCCTTTTATTCCAAAAAAAAAAAAGGAATCTAAAGTTTGTGCTTGCATTTTGAAAAAGCAAATGGCAATCGGGTGGCACGAGTCGATGGCAGGAGCATGCAGTGGTACTGACCCCAGAGGCAGGGACACCTTATCCATTAAGTACCCTGGACAGGTTGCCCAGGATTCACAATACTTTTAGGAGCCCATAAAATGTTTTACATTTCTTCAAAATCAGAAGGAAAAAAAGTGAACTTTTATAATAGATGAAAGAAAATATTAAAAAATATTTTAATTACTATCTTTGTATACCAACTGTATCAAAAATAAAATCTTATTGTTTAATGAAGTAAGGGGTTCATGATACTTAGGGTCCGTAAAAGTCATAATGCAGCCTGCTGAGAAAGCCATGTGGGAAAGGACATGGAGGAAATAGGACTGCCCACGCCCTGCTATTATAACGGTAGCTTCAGTGCCCACCTGAAGCAGCAGGTTTTGCATGTCTACAGCTTAGGCCCTTTGAATGGAGTTTCTGCACAGCACTTGTGATCTTTTATGCATCCAATTAGTACAATTTCATAGTATACATGCTTTATTACCGTACTCCTTCATATCTATCTGAGCTAGAATAGAGTCAGGAGTTTGGAAGGAGGAAACATACAAATATACGATTGTTCCTGAGTTTCGGTTATTCCTCAGCAACAGTGTGTGCCTGAGCATTTACCAGACTCATGGGGGAATGAGAAGCTCCCACTGCCGGTGGAAGGAATACTCTTCGGTGATCTTTGTTAAAGACAGTAGCTCTTAACATTCTTTCCATGTCTTCTCAAAGCAGGGACCTCATTTGGTCACATTTTAAAATAGGATATTCAAGGAGCAGTTTGAATACTTTATCAGTTCTTCTCAGGTGCTCATTACCAAGAGGAAACCAGTGAGAATTGCACAATTAAAAATAAACTTTTAAAATCAGTATAATTTGAAGATGATAAATGTGAATATTGGTCATGCCTGTGGAAATATAAACTCAAACAGGGCAAACATAACAGTCTATCACATTATGCATCGTTGCTAAAAAAAAAAAAAAAGCAACAACAACAAACAACCTTTCAAAAAAATCACCTAAGGAGCCTGTCCTACCAAAGCAACTAGAAGAATAAGGTCTCACTGATAAGGCATAGTGGGGAATAGAGAAGGAAGGCTGTTCAGAAGGTCCATCTTGTTCACCTGTACTTTCTCCAGGACTCAGCATAGTGCCTGGTACATACTAGGTACTCAATAAATATTTGTTGAATAAGGAATGAAGCAATGCATAAATATAGGGCTCATTCTAGTATACTTATGTCTAATTCTGCCTTTTTCCTGGTTCTGCCCAGCAGCACACTAGCTTCCTAAAGAGGAGCACCTAAGAAGATCCCTGAGTCTCTTTTACTCATTCCTGCTTCCTCCCTGTAACGTTACCGCCTTGTTACTGACTCTCCCTTTTCTTTTTCTTCTGATCACCACTTACCTCCTGCTCTGATGCTTCCAATGTCTTATTCTGATTGCTCTGCTTCCTGGTTTCAGTTCTCCCATCCTGACTTGATATGCTCATAGATCTAGTTGGAATTATTTATTTTTGACTGATGATTCTTGGTTCATTCTCTCTTGCTGTCCTGCTTCTTAGGCAACCTTCGATCCAACAGAACAATGGGATGCAATCAACTGCTGCCTCTCCCCAAACTTCATAAAGAGCTGAGGGCTTAAATAGGTGTTTTCTACTAGGTTTCTTACCCTCCTCAATATACTATCTAGAGAAGCTTCTTTCAAAAGGCTATAGTATGATTTATTTGACTCTCAGTTACTGACCCTTCACTTATAATTGCAATTCATATTCAAAGCAGACACACAATTCTGATACATATCTTAGTAATATTTTAAGTGTTTGCTTAAATATTTCTGTTTCCTAGGTCATTTTAAAATCCATTCCTAACCTTCCAAAGTGCACACGTGCACATACACACACACACACACACACACACACACACACACAAAATCAAGTAAATGAATCTGGGGATTAAAAGATCTAATGAAATCCCAGTTATTTTTACTTACCTGTACACATTCTGGTTACACATATTTTTCTCTACTCTTGAAAACTAAAATAAAAAGCCAGAGTGAAATCGATGGGGTTGATTCTTGGGAGACTTCTTGATTTAGTAAGATTCTTATCATTTTTAGCTGATCACAAAGAAAAAGAGCCAAACTTAGTGGTGGGTGTTTATAATATTGAATCAGACTGCCAGCTTAACATTTGAAAAAACCAAGATGACCTAAAAAAAAAAAAAAAACCAGTACTAATGCCCAACTCCTCTGGACCAATCAAAAGAAAGTCATTTAGGGCAGGGTCAAGCAGAGGATTTATAAACACATCCATGATGACTCTAATGATGTGTAGCTAGAATTAAGATCTATTTATTTAGAATATGCAGTTGCTCTATTATTTTGTTCTCTTTACTCAGGGAAAGATGGATTTAAGTTATTTTTATATGATATTGAAAGAATAAAACAAAAGTATGCAAAGCAAGAAAATACTTCAGTAAGACCAAGTGAATGAGGCAAAATATTTTTGTTTTAAAACTCTATAGACTGTCATCAAAAATCAACAGGTCTAGGTTAGAACACACTTTCAGATCCATAAAATTTGCAGCAAACTGCCACAGCTGGAAAATAAGCAGAGGGTTTCTTTTGGCAACAACCTATTCCAAACTGTCAACTGCATTCTACATGTGCTATTTTCTGAGGATAATTCTGTTTTTATTATTTGCTTGTTAATGTTAATTACTTTTGAACTTTAGAATTACTCACAGTACATTTTGGGATGCAATGAATACATTACTGTCTTAGGGTATCAACATTTCTTCCAACTTCTCCTTCATTATTACAAAGCTGAAAAGGGCTATAAAACAGACTCTGCTAAATGACTTACTTTTTATTCATCGAAATGTTCTTTTTGATGAACATGAAAAAATTAATCAAAAAATTTAGTAAAGTCATGGGGGATTCCAAACCCTACATATAGAATTCCAAGTCCTTATAAATAGGCCAGTGACATTTTCTGAGTATCCACAGATGCTTAGCACTGTAACAGGAACTTAAAGTATATAGTTGAGATTAGACCTGACTCATGTGCTGAGAATTTTATAATCTTTAAAAGAGATGAGATAGGTCAGTATTCAATTAATATGAATACATACAAAGAATTATTCTGACAGGGAGTGATAAGGAGAGGATTGCACAGATCAAAGAATGAGCCATAGTTAATTGAGGGAAATTTCCCTTGAGAGGTTTTCTGCAATGGACTCTGAACTTCAATTTAAAGAGAGGGCTATGGTTTGGAGGACAGGAATGTTGAGACTGTTCCTTGTATATGTGGTGAATTAAATGAAAACTTTAAGAAGTGAATAAAATGGAATGAAATGGCAAAAAAAAAAAGAAAAGTTCTTAGCTGTTTCAGATGACTGTGAAAAGAAACCCGATTACATCTTGCTCAGCAATTTTTCTTTAAAATACAAAATTTGCTGACGGTGTTCTGCATGAAAAGCTTACATGAACATGGATGGATGGGAAAACATGTCTTTCCAAAGATAAAAACGCCTTTTTCCCCTATTTTAAAAGATAGGTAGCCTTTAAATATGAAATATTCTTATTATGTCTCCCTTATAATAAATATTGTTATTCCTTGTCGGAGCATTCTAAAACTGGCTCCCCAGGGTAGATATATTGATCCACGCCAAAATTCCACGTGCTTTTCTGTATCTTTCAGTCCCTTCAAAGATAAATAGGACCATTTGACCAATTTTTGGCAAGCAGACCGTGAGTTGAGTTGATATATGTACATTTCTAGCCAAGGTATACGAGAGTCAGTGTGCTCCCGCCAGCTCATTCTTCCCCAGCTCATCACCTGGAAGTGGTTACAGGCAAAAGATGCAAACAGAATAAATCTCTGGGTCACCATCTGGATAGGAGAGGCTCTGAAAAGTCATCCCATCCATGGTATACCTAATTAGGTTACGCTACTGATACTTGAGTTTGTGTGTTACCATAATTATCATAGTATAGCTTACACTAATCTCACTAATGTACTCTCTAAGCATTTTATGTGAATAATTTCCTTTTCAGGGAGATCAGTTTTGGGAAAGTAGTAGCAACATGAGAGGTGGGAAGAGCAAAGTATTGTTAGAGTTAAAGACCCATGTGCCAACACATATCCTTTCTTCCCTCAAATAAATGTCTACACCTTGTCGAACTGCCTTCCTTTTTACACAGCTTAGCTAGAATGAGGCAAGACCCTTCTTCTGAGTTTCTGAAGGTTTTATTTATCCATAATAATGTGCTTTGGCAACAGAATCAACTTGTCTCACTTGCTTATTAGCTGAGTTGCTCTAAGTCTTCCATTCATTTGTATTAATCTTCTAATAAAAAGACTAAGATCATGTCTATTTTCTGAAATTCAGCTATGAGTTATCTCTAGCCAGAGAACTCAACTATACACCCTTACATGTGTTAAAATGTTTGTGAGCAAAATGAGATTTTCACCAGGAGTGAGAGGGGGAATACACTTTTCACAGGGGCTAAGAAGATCCTAATGTAATTGAAACAAACAAATTATTCTTAGGTGACATCGATTTTATTTATCCGCTCCCATTTCAATCTTTTCTTGTTTTTGCATCGTAAGTCCACATTTAAAAAGTGAATCCAGTGTTGTCATTGTGATCGAAATGGCTCAGCTCCAGGTTCTAAGAGCTTCCTGTTCAGTACATAGTAGTCAACAACCTTGTTTGCATTAATGGCATTTTTTTTTAATTTGGAAGAAAGCAAGGCCCTTCTTAACTTTCATCCCTTGTTTTAATGTTAGCAATGTTAGATGCAAAATAAGGCCAGGCAAAACGTCACCATGGTTGTTCTCAGAAAAGCAAACCAACTTCGGACTGCATTAAAAGAGTTTCTGCCTGTTTAGTAAATGTGCCACATTTGGTGACTATTTTTCTTTTTTTGCAATATTTCAACTTGTATTGTCAAAAGTGCTTTGGAAAAAAAATATAATATTTGTAATAAGAGGCATTGTTTGAAAGATTATTTGTATGTGTAACATGGTCCATACTTGTCTGTGTGTGACATTCTTCTAAAAATATTGAATACATATCAAACTTTGTAAACCAAAACAAATGTAAGGTGGACTGGTGAAAAATGATAAAATTATTCCAATTTTAATAGATTCTAGCATAATCAAGTTTTCCTAAACTAGCCACATTTGTGCTTTTGTACAATTTTCAAATACCATATAAGAATTCGATATAGAATGAATTTTATCAGTATACTTTATGGTTTGGGCCATAACTGAGTATGTATGTATAAATTCCTACTATCTGGAATACAGTCAAAAACTAGAAAATAAGCAAAGTATAAAATGATGTACATGTGTTTTCACAGATTATCTGGTTTCTCAGATATAGCAGATGAAATGAATTAAAATAGGCAAGAGGACAAGGTTATAGGACTGTGGAACCAGCAAATATATGATGCTGAGGTTAGACCCAAATTCAAATCTCAGCTTTACTACTTACTAACTGGCTGAATATAGTGAAGTCACTTAATCTCCATGATGTTCAATTTTCTACTTTATAAAGTGAAAATAATCACATTATCTTGCACAATGTTGTGGAAATTAAATCCAACAATATGCAAATCATGTCATATATAACATCAAACTCATATTGCACTCCAAAACTGGTAGGGTCAGCTTTTACATATTTATTCTACACATGTTTAATAAGAACCTACTATATACCAAAAACTGTGCTGGTTCACAAATGAATGAGAGATAATTCTAGTGTAAATTCTAGTACAGGATCATTGCGTAGACAGATAAGTGCTCACTGATATCCACTTCTTCTCTACTTCTTGGAACACTGGATGATCGTATTGCCTGGCCCCCTTAAAGCATTACCTAGCCAATCTTGACTTCTATAGGTATATAGTCCAATGACAACAAGAAGGAACAGTAGAAAAAAGAAGAAAATTAAGCAAATTAAAAAACAAACGAAGCCAAAAAACAACTGCGCAAGGTGGCTCACGCCTGTAATCCCAGCACTTTGGGAGGTCGAGGCGGGCGGATCACGAGGTCAGGAGATCAAGACCATCCTGGCTAACACGGCGAAACCCCATCTCTACTAAAAAAATTAGCTGGGTGTGGTGGCAGGCGCCTGTAGTCCCAGCTACTCGGGAGGCTGAGGCAGGAGAATGGCGTGAACCCGGGAAGCGGAGCTTGCAGTGAGCCGAGATCGCCCCACTGCACTCCAGCCTGGGCAACAGAGAGAGACTCCGCCTCAAAAAAAAAAAAAAAAAAAGAAAAGAAAAAAAGAAGAAGAAGTCAAAATATGGTGTCATTTAATGAAGGGAAAAATATATGGATGTGCCTCAGCAACCATGAAACTACAGTGTATTTCGTGATCACCATAATGACCTTCTTGAGTCACCAAGCATGATTAAGAACTACCATAAAGATATTAATCAATTTTAAACTAATATTAAGTTAATAAATGAATAAATGAAGTGAATGATTAATAAAGTATTAACCATTTTTAGTATTTGTTAGAATATAAAGGATTAATTTTCAGTTATATGTAATATTTTCTTGATAACAGCACATATTTATCGATTTACAACATGGTGGATGACTGTATTGTAGGTAAGACTTAGCTCAGGGATAGATAATATAGGAAAAAGAAAGGTAATAGAGACATTATTAAATATTTAAGTACTTTTAACAAAATTTGCTTTTCAGCATGACAGGTACCAAAGAGTTTTTACATCTTCCTAACATACCTACCCACCTCAATTCACATGCTATCTGGCAAGTTAACAAAAGATTAAAAAGGCTCCATGTTATTTTTCCCCTTATTCAGCAACCTAGATTCCTTTTAATCAATAAGGATAATGTCGCTAAGCCTTGAAAAGGTGTAAACTTAGACTTATCTATCTAGCAGAGGAGGCACTGTACATCTCCAGGCAGTCACAAACATAGCTTTATCCTTCTTTTTGGGAAAATGTGTCTTGTCTAAGTTTATACTGTCATTTCTCTCCTACCAGCTAATGATATCTTAAGTTAGAACATCATGCCAAGAGAAGTATGTTTTCAACCAAGAAAGCAAAATCAACATGATCCTAAATGAACTGCTTCTGCATGTCAACAGTCTTGATATACCTGAGAGAGTGAGATACAGAGTATGTTGTTAAACTTTTTATAATTACAAATATTGCTTGTATTTCTTTTGAAATTTGCCACACGCTGATATTAAAAATAATAGATAGAAAATCAAGAGAGAAACTTGTAGCTTTAATTTATTTTGTTGTTTGGATAATTAAGATTGTAGGATAGACAGACTAATAATTCTCTACTTTTAAAGGAAAAGTATTTCTCTTTGAGTCTCCTTCACTTTGTAAACCATGGTTGAAACAAGTTCAGAGATTGAAAGGGGTATTTCTTCAAATATTCACTGAGGAAAAAAACTATGTGAGATCCTCTTCCACTCACTCAAGTTCCCCAAGGACTACTTATATGGCAAGTTTTCCTAGGAAGAATCTCACTCCACCATTAGCTTTTGTAGATATAAACACTTCACGGAAATTTCTGAATGAAAAAGAACATTGCATCACAGTAAGATTAATCATAATGATATGTCCTTAATTTCAAGCATAACGTGATGTATTATGAGAAAACAGTATGATTTGAAGTTACAGTAGGTTGTTTATTATATATTCTATTTTTAAGGCAAGCAATAATTCTTGTGTTCAAGGTAAAAGAGCAAAATTAAACCATGATTTCAAGAATATCAGTGTCCCCAAACAGACTTCTTAGTCTTTCTCTGCACTGGAAAAGTATGTATATAATCATTTAACTGGGTCTATTATAACAATATGTCTACATCTTCATGGTATACACTACATCTATACCATAGCTCGATTATATCTGCTCAAGCAGTGTCCTTATTTTATCTTTCAAGACTATGTCAAACTTCTATTCAAATAAATAAATGTTGCCATTAAGGTCTTTTAATTATATGGCTACTTCTGAGCCGTTAAGAAATAATCGGCCGGGCGCGGTGGCTCACGCCTGAAATCCCAGCACTTTGGGAGGCCGAGGCAGGCGGAACACAAGATCAGGAGATCGAGCCCATCCTGGCTAACACGGTGAAACCCCGTCTCCACTAAAAGTACAAAAAATTAGCCAGGTGTGGTGGCGGGCGTCTGTAGTCCCAGCTACTTGGGAGGCTGAGGCAGGAGAATGGCGTGAACCCGGGATGCGGAGCTTGCAGTGAGCTGAGATCGCGCCACTGCACTCCAGCCTGGGCGACAGAGCGAGCCTCCGTCTCAAAAAAAGAAAAATAATCTAAAAATATTGGATTGAGAATTTCGAGTAGAAAACCAATAAAGAAATTATCAGGCTACTTGTCTTATCTTTTGAACTCAGGCTATATTATTGAAATGTATGAGAAAAAAAATTAAGACAGTAAAGCACACACATACACACACATATAAACACACACACACACACACACACAC
The DNA here is from genome assembly GCF_000001405.40 of Homo sapiens. Taxonomy (NCBI): domain Eukaryota; kingdom Metazoa; phylum Chordata; class Mammalia; order Primates; family Hominidae; genus Homo; species Homo sapiens. The sequence goes on along the minus strand of NC_000003.12, from coordinate 106,366,743 downwards.
ACACACACACACCCCAAACTGGAATAGCTACAAGATCCATGTTTTCTTTTTTGTTTTCTCTTATTCCCAATTGCATTTAAATTAAAGGAAAATTATTCTGTTTCTGCTTTCATCCTCTCCTACCTATCCCACTTGGGAGATATCAGAAGTTACTAGATTAATTGCTACATTAGTAATGCTGTGCTGCACATGTCCTTGGGTAGTCAGTTCTCTAGGGATAAAAGGCACTTACTGCCTTGCATTTTCAACTCATGTCTCTTAATGCTTTTATTCCCATTCTTTGGCTGCAGCAAATATTGCATGGAGTTTTCACATCAGTTGATTCTGTGATACTGTTGGATTTGTTGCTTTATGAACATTTTTCTGTATTCTGGCACTGAGCAGAATTCCTAGCATATATCAGATGCTCAATGTATACTTGTTAGGAAAAAAAAAACAGAAATAAATGGATAAAAGAGTATTTAGTTACCTTATAAAGTATGGAGTTAAGCATTGAAACAAATATATAACTTCTCTTTTATGTATACTGTACACAGCAGAATGTTTCCTCATCTAAGAGCCCATTGTAGTAAAGAATGAGGCAATACTAGGAACTAAGTGCCAGGCATGGGGCATTCCTGTAATCCCAATACTTTGAGAGGCAAGGTGAGAGGATCGTTTGAGCCCAGGAGTTTGAGACCAGCCTGGGCAACAGAGAGAGACCCTGTTTCTACAAAATAAAAATAATAATAAAAAAAAATTCAAGCATGGTGGTGTGTGCCTGTCACTTAGTTACTCAGCTATTCAAGAGGCTGAGGATCAGATTGATTGCTTGAGTCCAGGAAGTTGAGGCTGCAGTAAGCCAGGATCACACCACTGCACTCCAGCCTGGGGACAAAGCGAGATCCTGTCAAAAAAAAAAAAAAAAGAAACTAAATGGTGCCTGTCACCAGCATCTTCCATATTCCCCTTAGACTTTGTCCCAGTTTGTCTCCAGAACTACCAATGTCTTCATGATTCAGATCACTTCCTGAGAAGAGTAAGAATATAAGAATATACCTAAGTTGAATATTGTAGGTAAATGAAATCACAATAAAGCAAAACTTTAGATTTTTTAAAATGGAACATTCATGTCATTAATACCAAAAAGTGATAAAGACAACCAAAGGGAAGAGAAAGAAAATGAAAGCAGAAAGGAAGAAAAGAAGGAAGGAAGGAAGGAGAGAGAAAGTCAACCAAAGGGAAGAAAAAGAAAAAGAAAGAAGAAAGAAGAAAAAGACAGAAAGAAGAAAGAAAGGAAGGAAGGAAAGAGAGACAGAGAAAGAAAGCCAAAGGGAAGAGAAAGAAAAAGAAGGAAGAAAGGAAGACAGAAAAAGAACAAAAGAAAGAAAGGAAGAAAGAGGAAGAAGGACGAAGGAAAGAAGAAAGAAAGAAAGAGAAAGGAAGGAAGGGAGAGAAGAAAGACAAGAAAGAGAAAGGAAGGAAGGGAGAGAAGAAAGACAAGAAAGAAAGAGAAAGAAAGACAGGAAGAGAGAGAAAGAGAGAAGAAAGAAAGAAAGAAAAGAGAAAGAGAAAATGAAAGAGAGAAAGAAAGAAAGAAAATGAAAGAAAGAAAGAAAGGAAAGAAAAGAAAAAGAAAGAAAGGAAGGAAGGAGAGAGAGGGAGGAAAAAAGGAAGGAAGAAGGGAAGGAAAGGAAAGCAAGGAATAAAATTTTAAAAATGTTCAAACCTATTTATAAATATGAATCCAAACTTTCCAACTGAAAATCAGCAAACAGAAACTAGAAGCAAAGTAAAGAATAATACACTATGAAGGCCAAGTGTATATACACTTTTCAATATTAAAATTTATGAATATTATCCAAAATATTATTGGAATCAGGAAAAGTAACCCTCTCTATGATAATGAAGTTATTTGATGAAATTTGACATCATTTTTTTTTTATTTAAAACATTAGAAACCAATGCTATGGTTTGACTTTTTGAAAACACTGAAACACTCATGTTGAATGTCCTTCCAAATTTCATGTTAATCCCCATGGTGTTACTGGTAAGAGGTGGGGCCTTTTGTAAAATGATTTAGTCGTAAGAGCACTGCCCTGGTGAATGGGCTAATGCTCATATAAAAGCAGCTTCAGAGAGCTTCCAGGTCCATTTACTCCTCCTGCATTGTGAGAAAACATGATTCATTCCTTTTTGCCCTTTTGCCATATGAGGACTAAGCAACAGGGTACCATCTACAGAGCAGAGAATGGGCCCTCACCACACATGAAATCTGCCAGCATCTTGATTTTCAATTTCTCAGCTTACTGAACTAAAAAATAAATTTGTATTATTTATAAAATGCCTAGTCTAAGATATTTTTATAGCAGAAAGAATGGACTAAGATGCTTTCCAAATATGATCAGTAACAAAGCAGCATGGCTTTTGTCACTACTACCATTTATGTTTGTTTCCTAAATGCTAGTGAAGGAAATTAAGCAAAAGGGAAAAAAGTCGTTATGAAAATAGAAATGTGGAAATAAAATTATTTTAGATGATTGTTTACTTGAAACAAAAATAATCAACTAAACAATTGTTACTAATGGTAAAAAAAATTAATATGACTAAAAAAAGCTATTCAGGATCAAATAGGTGTCATATATATTGTAACAAGCACTTACATCATATGTTGGAGGAAAAGATCCTTACGCTATAGCAACAAGAAAGAAAAAATATCTGTGAACAAACAAGACAAAGTACATAGGATCTATGAAGGAAATACTAAAATAAAAGTGAAAGATATGTAGAATGTTTGAACAAATAGAAATTTACATCATATAGGATAGGAAACTTAAATAACATAGAATATTAATTAATATGTTCTGAGTTAATTTATGTGTTGCATGAGGCTCTAATACAAATAAAAACAAAATGCTTTTAAAGCTACATAAGTTGATTGTATAGTTTACTTAATACACAAGCAAGAAGAGTTAATTAAATTATGAAAAAAGAAAACTAAAGCATGCTATAAAGCTATTAGAATTAAAGCAGCACAATTCTTGGTATACAAATAAATTGGTGGAGTAAAATCAAAAATACAAAAAGATATTTTATTATATATAAGACTTTAGTAGATGGTAAATGTGGCACTGAATTCAATATTTGTTTTCAGAAAAACTAGATAGACACCTAGAAAACAATTACATAAAATAAGTTTTAGGGGGCCAGGCCCAGTGGCTCATACGTGTAATCCCAGCACTTTGGGAGGCCAAGGTAGGCAGATCACTTGAGGTCAAGAGTTTGAGAGCAGCTTACCCAACATGGTGAAACCTCATCTATACTAAAAATACAAAAATTAGTCAGGTGGTGTTGGGTGCCTGTAATCCCAGCTACTTGGGAGGCTGAAGCCGAAGGATCATTTAACCTGGGAGGCAGAAGGTGCAGTGAGTAGAGATCGTGCCACTGTGCTCCAGCATGGGTGACAAAGTGAGACTCCATAATAAATAAATAAATAAATAAATAATAGATAAATTAAAAATTTAGGCTGATTAGATACAGTCAGGATGATATCTGCCACCAGAAGACAGGGACATTGGGAAGACTGCAGCACTCTGAGCAGATTTTCAGAGGGAAGTTACTGAGAGTGGACAGAAGAGGGACACAGATGCTGAGCTGAAGGAGGAGGAAGCTGGAAACCCTGTACAGGGCTACCATGCACCAGGACTTCTTCCTGGCCCTCAGTAAGTCCTCAAGAAGGGGTGAGTTGAACAGGTGAGGAGTGGCCTGCTTTTGCCATGGAATCCTGGCAGCAGGAGACAACACAACCCCCACAGACTTGAGCTGACAGGAAAAGCTACTTAGAGAGGTGGTAGGGTCAGGACAGCAGCCTGCATGGATCATAGACGGTTTGGTGCAGGAATGTCTGCAGTGGAGCACAGCCACAGATGCCCACCCCCAAGGCTCACCATACTCCCATAGGAGACTTTAACCTTAGGGACTGCCAGGCCTGAACAGAAGAGGGCAGTCTGTGAGATGGAGCCAGTCTGATCTGAGTGCCCCCCTGTCTGCTAGCCTCCCCCAGGGCTCCAGCCCAGCAATACCTGCTTGCAGTGAAGCCTTGGGTGCTTTATGGGGCCCACATCGTAAACTCCTTTACTTTCAGACCATGCCTGCCCATTGGAGAGCTCCAGCAGAGTGGCCCCTGCCAAAACGCACAAGGCTACCTATGCCCTCATCTCACCACAGCTTCACCCATGTTGCTTTGTTGGCACAAACTCACCCATGGCCATCATTACTACTTTGCCAGGGTACTACATTACTAATTTGCCAGTGTATTAGTCTGTTTTTATGTGCCAATAAAGACATACCCAAGACTGGGCAATTTACAAAAGAAAGAGGTTTATTGGACTTACAGTTTCACATGGCTGGGGAGGCCTCAAAATCATGGCAGAAAGTGAAAGGCACATCTCACATGGTGGCAGACAAGAGAAGAGAGCTCGTGCAAGGAAACTCCCGTTTTTAAAACCATCAGATCTCATGAGACTTATTCACTATCATGAGAAGAGCATGGGAAAGACCTGCCCTCATAATTCAATTACCTCCCACCAGGTCCCTCCCACAACACATGGGAATTCAAGATGAGATTTGGGTGGGGACACAGCCAAACCATATCATTCCATCCCTGGCTCCTCCCAAATCTTATTTCCTTACATTTTAAAACCAATTATGTCTCCCCGACAGTCCCCCAAAATCTTAACTCATTTCAGCATTAACTTAAAAGTCCAAAGTCCAAAAGTCTCATCCAAGACAAGACAAGTCCCTTCCACATATAAGCCTGTAAAATCAACAGAAAATTAGTTACTTCCTAGATACAATGGGGGTACAGGCATTGGGTGAACCCAGCCATTCCAAATGGGAGAAATTGGCCAAAACAAAGAGGCTACATTTTAAAACTCCGAAATTATTTACGTTATGTCTCACATCCAGTTTACACTGATGCAAAAGGTAGGCTCCCATGGCCTTGGGCAGCTCCACCCCTGTGGCTTTGCAAGGTACAACCCCCTTCCTGGCTGCTTTCACTAGCTGGCATTGAGTGTTTGTGACATTTCCAGGCACACAGTGCAAGCTGTCAGTGGATTTACCATTCTGGGGTCTGGAAGACGATGGCCCTCTTCTCAGAGCTCCACTAGGTGGTGCCCCAGTAGGGACTCTGTGTGGCAACTCTGACGCCACATTTCCCTTCCGCACTGTCCTAGCAGAGGTTCTCCATTGTAGGGAGACCCCTGGAAACTATTGCTATGGAATAAAAGATGAAATGCTCCTGATTATTGTAAATACAAAATTGCATGCAGGATTGTGTAAAGACAATGCCAGGTTGAACTGCCAGAATGAGCCAACAGCGTGTGATGTGCTTCCCCCTGCAGAGAGCCTCTGAACGGATGTGCAGTCAGGGAGGTTTCACATCACCAAGATTCCTATCCCAGAAAAGCAGATGTTCATAGCTCTGGGAATGGAATGCGACCCTTGTGGAAAGCCTATAAATGGACACATGAGGGGTGCCTGTTCATATGGATAAGATAGGGCTATAAACACCCTCATCTTGCCACAGCTCTTCTAGGCCTCTTTAGGGTTAAGGCATACTTCCTTCTTAGAATTTCTGGTCTAACCAGTTGTCTAGCTTCACATCCTATTTCTATGGATTGTTTGTAACCAGCTTTTATTGCAACTGTTACTGCTGATTAATATCTTGCTAATCATAGGTTATGGAAAGACTGTGTTTCTGTTTTAAGGCTCTGTTAGAAATTACTGATGCACATGCTATATTGTAAATTCTTATCTCTGAATACTGTACTTCTGCATACAGATGTTATGTTAAAGAATTGCTTCATCCCCATGTGACCATATCACCTCATAATCAAATAACCCTAAGTCCCTCACTAACCTACCCCTGCCCTCACTAAACTTAATAATAAATGCTGGTATATCCAGTGCATTGGCGGCATCGCGGGACCAGAATGTGGTGACCCCCCTGGACCCAGCTTTCACTATCTTGTGTGTGTCTATTATTTCTCGACCTGCCGATCTGCCTGGGAACAAAGAAAGAGCCCCGTTGCATTGCAGGCTGCTGGCCAGATCCCGCAATACTCCATGAGGGCCCCTCCCCTGTAGCAGACTTCTACTACCTGGACATCCAGGCATTTCCATACATCCTCTGAAACCTAGGTGGAGGGTCCCAAACCTCAATTCCTGACTTCTGTACACCTGGAAGCTCAACATCACATGGAAGCTGTCAAGGCTTGGGGCTTGCACCCTCTGAAGCCATGGCCCAAGCTGTGCCTTGGCCCATTTTAGTCACAATTGGAGAGGACACAGGACACCAAGTCCCTATACTGCACACAGCAGAGGGACCCTGAACCTGGCTCACAAAACCATATTTCCTCATAGATCTCCAGGCCTGTGATAGGAGGGGCTGCCGCAAAGGTCTCTGACATGCCCTGGAGATATTTCCCCCATTGTCTTGGTGATTAACATTCAGCTTCTAGTTCCTTCTGCAAAGGTAGAATGATGGATATGGTCCAATATAATCAACCTGCCACCAGGTAGCTGGCTGATCACCCCAAGGAATGGTGCCATATCGAAGGCGCAGTGTTGGTCTCTGCTGCTGGCAATTTAGACACTCAGCAGTGGCTGTAGCCAATGCCATCCTTGGTGAGTGGAAGTCCATGTTGCTGAGCCCATGCATAACCTCCATCACTGCTACCATGGCCACTTTGTTCAAGGGCCCACTGGGTGACGACAGGGGTGGCTGGGAAAAGAGGCTGAGTGGTGTCCACAGAATGGCTCATCCTATCCACTTGATTATTAAAATTGTCCTCTGCTGACGTCACCCATTGGTGAGCATGCACATGGGATACAAATATCTTCACAGTTTTTGAGCACTCAGAGAGGTCTATCCACATACTTTTTCCCCAAATTTCCTTGTCATGAATTTTCCAGTCATGCTTCTTCCAAGTCCCTGACCATCCAGCCAAACCATTGGCTACAGCCCATGAATTAGTACATAATCGCACATCTGGCCATTTCTCCTTCCATGCAAAGTGTACAACTAGGTGCACTGCTAGAGTTTCTGCCAACTGGGAAGATTTCCCTTTTCCACTGTCCTTCAGGAATGATCTAGAAAGGGGCTATAGCACTGTAGTTGTCCACTTTCAGGTGGTGTCTGCATATTGTGCAGAACCATTTGTGAACCAGGACCTAGTCTTCTATTCCTCTGTCCAATGATCATAGGGAACTTCCTATGAGGCCATCAGTGCAGGTTGGGGTGGAGAAGGCAGGGTGGCAGGAGTGGAGACCATGGGCATTTGAGCCACTTCCTCATGCACTTACTTGTGCCTTCAGGACCTGCTCGAGCCCCATCACATATATACTACTTCCATCTGATGATGGAATACTGCTGTGCATGACCCCCTTTATGGCTAGATGGGTAAGAAAACACCCAGTTCATGATAGGGAGTTCAGGTCACATGGTGACTTGATGACCTATAGTCAAAAGTTCGGTTTCCACCAAAGGCCAGTAAAAGGCCAAGCGTTGTCTCTCAAAAGGAGAGTAGTTATCTGCAGAAGACGGCAGGGCTTTGCTCTAAAATCCTAGAGGCCTCGGCTGTGATTCACCTATGGAGGCCTGAGAGAGGCTCCAAACAGCATCTCTATCTGCTACTGACACCTTAAGCACCATTGGATCTGATGGGTCATATGGCCCAAGTGGCAGAGCAGCTTGCACAGCAGTCTGGACATGTTGCAGAGCCTTCTCCTGTTGTGAACCCCACTCAAAACTGGCAGCCTTTCAGGTCACTCAATAAATAAGCAAGAGTAACACATCCAAATGAGGAACGTCTTGCCTCCAAAATCTAGACAGGCCCACTAGGCATTGTGCCTCTTTCTTGGTTGCAGGAAGGGCCAAAAGCAACAACTAATCCTTCACCTTAGAAGGAATATCTCAACAGGCCCCACACCACTGGACCCCTAGGAATTTTACTGAGGTAGAAGTTCCCTGAATTTTAGTTGGATTTACTTCCCCTCCTCTGGCACACAAATGTCTCACCAGTAAGTCCAGTGTGTTTGCTACCTCTTGCTCACTGGATCCAATCAGCATAATGTCATCAATGTAATGGACAAGTGTGATATCTTGTGGAAACAAAAAGCTATTGAGGTCTCTTTGAATAAGATTATGACACAAAGTTGGAGAGTTGATATACACCTGAGGTAGGACAGTAAAGATATGTTGCTGGAACACGTGGAAATTCAAGATGAGATTTGGGTGGGGACACAGCCAAACCATATCAACCAGCAAGAGTGTGGACCTTGTTCCTCTTCCACACCAGTATGAATGCGTGCATTCACACCCTACCATGTCACTGCTGCCAGCATGAGCACACCCTGCTACTCAACCATCAGCCACACCACCATTGCCTGTGCAAACATGTACATGGATGCCAGGAGCCCTGCCTCCCCTACTCCACCATTGCCATCAGTGCAAACACGTGCATAGAAGCCAGAAGCTCTGTGCCCACCAGTGCCCCACCCCCACACTGGCATGACTCATACAGGAATGCCATAGCCCCACTCACACCAGTACCTTACCACAGCCAATATATGTGCACCCCGCTGTGTTGTCACTGCTGCTGACACAGGCAAACAAGCATGGACCCTGCTACCACTGCCCTAATGAAGTGCTTTCGTGGGCAGCAACCAGTGTAGTGCTGTGGCCAGTAATCTGGGAAGACATCAGCACCTCCAATACAGAAGGTTCCTAACCTCAAGGAGCCAGAGAACAAAGCCAGGGGCCCAATACCAGCCCCTCAGAGTTAGAACATGTGGTCCAAGTGTTCTGAGCTAAGCCTTGGCCCCCCAAAATCTTCCAGAAATAAAGCCAGTTGACTGAATCCACCCTGTGCCAAGGACATCAAAGAAGATTAAAAAAAAAAAAAATCCGAAGGACAGCAATTTCAAAGACTAAAGGAACATCAGCCCACTGATGAGAAAGAACTGGCACAAGCACTCTGGCAAGTCAAAAAGTCAGAGTGTCTTTTTAACTCCAAATGATCACACTGGTTACCCAGCAATGGTTCTTAACCAGAATGAAATGGTTGAAATGACAGAAATAGAATTCAGAATATGGATGGGAATGAAGATTATCAGGATTCAGGAGAAAGTTGAAACCCAATCCAAGGATTCAAAGCAATACAAAAAACAATACAGGAGATGAAAAATGAAATGGCCATTTTAAGAAAGAACCAAACTGACCTACAAAAGCTGAAAAACTCCCTTCAAAAATTTCGGAATACAATCTCAAGTATTCACAGCAGAAGCGGTCAAAAAATAACTAAGTCAAATAACTAAGTCAAATAAAAACAATCAAAAAACACTAAAGCAGAATAAACAAAAGCTCTGAGACATACGGGATTATGTAAAGAGACCAAACCTACAACTCACTGGTGTCCCTGAAAGAGAGGAAGACAAAGCAAGTCAATTGGAAAACATACTTCAGGATATTATCAACGAAAATTTCCCCACCCTCACCAGAGAGGAAACCATTCAAACTCAGGAAATGCAGGGAACCTCTACAAGATACTATACTAGATGACCATCCACAAGACACATAGAGATCAGATTCTCCAAGGTCAAAATGAAAGAAAAAATGTTAAAGGCAGCTAGAGAGAAGGGGCAGGTCACCTATAAAAGGAAACCCCATCAGGTTAACAGAAGACCTCTCAACAGAAACTTTTAAGCCAGAAGTGATTGGATGCCTATATTCAGCATTACTAAAGACAATAAATTCCAACCAAGAATTTCATCTCTAGCCAAACTAAGTTTCCTAAGCAAAGGAAAAATAAGATTCTTTTCAGAAAAGCAAATACTAAGGGAATTTGTAATCACCTCCTACAAGAGGTGCTGAAGGGAGTGTTGAATATGAAAAGAAAAGATCATTACTGGGCAGCATAAAACACACATAAATAAATAGAATATTGACACTATAGGGCAATCACACAAACAAGTCTGCATAGTAACCAGCCAACAACACGATGACAGAATCATATCCACACATATCAGTATTAACCTTGAATGTACACAGGCTAAATGCCTCAATTGAAAGGCACAGAGTGGCATGTTGAATAAGGAGGCAAGACCCAACAGCACGCTGTCTGCAAGAAACTTATCTTATGTGCAATGACAACCATAGGCTTAAAGTAAAGGGATGGAAAAAAATCTGCCCAGCAAATGATAAACAGAAAAACGCAGAAGTTGCTAATCTAATTTCAGACAAAACAGACTTTTAACCAATGGAAATCAAAAAAGACAAATAAGGGCATTATGTAATGGTAAATACTTCAATTCAACAAGAAGACCTAACTATCCTAAAAATATATGCACACAACACAATAGCATCCAGATACACAAAGCAAGTTCTTAGAGACCTACAAAAGGACTTAGATAATCACACAATAACAATAGGATACTTCAACACTCAACTGACTGTATTACACGTATCACAGAGGCAGAAAACTAACAAAAATATTTGGCACCTGAGCTCAACAGTGGACCAAACAGACCTAATAGACATCTACAGAACTTTCCACCCCAAAACAACAGAATATATATTTACCTCATCTGCATATGGCACGTACTCTAAAACCAACCACACAATGAGCCATAAAGCAATCCTTAGAAAATTAAAAAAACTGAAATCATACTAAACACACTCTCAGACCACAGCACGATAAGATAGAAATCAATTTCTACTTTTGAAACTATGAAAATGGCTCAAAACCATACAATTTCATAGAAATTAAACAATGTGCTCCTGAATGACTTTTGGGTAAAAAATAGGCAGAAATCAAGAAATTCTTTGAAACTAATGTGAACAAAGACACAACATACCAAAATCTCTTGGACACAGCTAAATCACTATTAAGAGGAAAGTTTATAATGCTAAACGCCTACATCAAAAAATTAGAAACTTCTAAAATTAACAACCTAACTATCACACCTAGAGAAACTAGAAAAAAAACAAGCAAACCAACCTCAAAGCCAGCAGAAGACATGAAATAATTAAATCAGAGTTGAAATACAGAAAATTGAGATGCATAAAAGATCAACAAAACTAAAAATATATTTCTTGAAAGAACAAATTAGATAGCTAGACCTGTATCTAGACTAACAAAGAAAAAAGAGGAAATATCCAAATTAACACAATCAGAAATGACAAAGGGGATGTTACCATTGACTTCACAGAAATACAAAAACCCTCAGAGACTACTACAAATACTTCTATGTACACAAGCTAGAAAACCTAGAAGAAATGGGTAAATTCCTGAAAGCATACAATCTTCTAAGAATGAAAGAGAAATTGAGTCCTTCAACAGACTAATGAAAAGTCCCCAAATTGAATTATTAATAAAAAGCCTCCCAACCAGAAAAAGCCAGGACCAGACAAATATAGAGCCAAATTCTACCAGATGCATAAAGAAGAGCTGGTACCATTCCCATTGAAATTACTCCAAAAAATTGAGGTGGAGGGACTCTTTATTAACCTATTCTGTGAGGGCAGCATTATTCTGATTTTAAAACCTGGCCAAGACAAAACAACGGCAAAAAACTTCAGGACAATATCCTTAATGAACATAGATGCAAAAATCTTCAATGAAGTACTAGAAAATCAAATGCACCAGCTCATCAAAAAGCTAATTCACGATGATCAAGTATGCTTTATCCTTGGCTAAAAGGTTGGTTCAATACATGCAAATCAATAAATGTGATTCATCACATAAACAGAACTAAAAACAAAACCACATGGTCATGTCAATAGGTGCAGCAAAGGCTTTTGATAAAATTCAACATCGCTTCATGTTAAAACCCTTGTATTATTCTGTTTTGTTTTGTTTTGTTTTGTTTGTTTGTTTGTTTTTTGCACTGTTATAAAGAAATACCTGAAACTGAGTGATTTATAAAGAAAAGAAGTTTAATTGGCTCACGGTTCCATGGACAGTACCAGAAACATGGCTGGGAGGCCTTAGGAAACTTACAATCGTGCTGGAAGGTGAAGGCGAAACAGGCACATCTTACGTGGTCAGAGCAGAAGAAATAGAGAGAGAAGGAAGATGCTATACATTTTTATACAACTAAATCTTGTGAGAACTCTATCATGAGAAAAGCACCAAAGGAGGAAATATACCCCTATGATTCAATCACCTCCCACCCGGTCCCACCTCCAACACTGGGGATTACAATTCAATATGAGATTTAGGTGAGGATACAAATCCAAATCTTACCAATGCTCAAAAAACTAGGCATTGAAAGAACATACTTCAAAATAACTGCTCATCTATAACAAACCCATCGTCAACATCATACTGAATGGGCAAAAGTTAGAATTATTCCCCCAGAAAAGCAGCACAAAACAAGGATGCCTCTCTCACCACTCCTATTCAATATATTATTGGAAGTCCAAGCCAGAGTACCCAGGCAAGAGAAAGAAATAAAAAGCATCAAATAGGATGAGAGGAAGTCAAACTATCTTTGTAGATGATTGGATTCCATACCAAGAAAACCCCTTAGTCTCTGCCCAAACATACCTTGATCTGAAAAACAACTTCAGCAAAGTTTAAGGGTGAAAAATTATTGTACAAAAATGAGTAACATTTCTACCCCAATAACATCCAAGCTGAGAGCCAAATCAAGCAATCCCATTCAAAATAGCCACAAGAATAAAACACCTAGAAGTATAACCAACCAGAAGGGTGACACATCTCTACAATAAGATTTAAAAAGCACTATTCAAATAAATTAGAGATGACACAAATGAAAAAAAAATTCATGTTCATGAATAGGAAGAATCAATATCATTAAAATTTCCATACTGCCCAAAGCAATTTAGAGATTCAGTGCTATTCCTATCAAACTACCAATGATATTCTTCAAAAATTTAGAGAAAACTATTTTAAAATTCACATAGACCGAAAAGAGAGATTCAAAAGCCAAGTCAATCCTAAGCAATTAGAGCAAAGCTGGAGGCAGTCACATTACTCGACTTCAAACTTTGCTACATGGCTACAGTAACCAAAACAGCATGGTATTGGTACAAAAATAAATACATAGACCAATAGAACAGAATACAGAACCTAGAAATAATCCTGCACACATGCAACCATCTGCTCTTTGACAAAGTCAACAAAAACAAGCAATGAGGACAAAGGACTCCCTATTCAATAAATGGTGCTGGGATAACTGGCTAACCATATGCAGGAGATCGAAAATGGACCCCTAGATTAAAGACTTAAATGTAAAACCCAAAACTATAAAAATCCTTGAAGTCAACCTAGGAAATACCATTCTGTGCATAAGACCTGGCAGAGATTTTATGACCACGACACAATAAGCAATTGCAACAAAACCAAAAATTGACAAATTGGACCCAATTAAACTAAAATTCTTCTGCACAGCAAAAGAAACTATCAACAGAGTAAACAGACAATCTCCAAATGGGAGAAAATATTTGCAAATTATTTATCTGACAAAGGTCTTATATCCAGAATCCATAAGGAATTTAAACAAAGCAATAAGCAAAAAACAAACAGCACCATTAAAAAATGGGCAAAGGTCATGAATAGGTATTTCTCAAAAGAAGACAAACACGCGGCCAACAAGCATATGAAAAAATGCTCAACATAACTGATCATTAGAGAAATGCAAATCAAAACCATAATGAGATACCATCTTACATCAGTCAGAATGGTTATTATTAAAAAGACAAAAAATAATGATTCTAGCAAGGGTGCAGAGGTGAGAATGTAAATTAGTTAAGCAACTGTGGCAAACAGTTCGATGATTTCTCAAATACTTTAAAATAAAACTACCGTTTGACCCAGCAATCCCATTATTGGGTATATCCCCTACGGAATATAAATCATTCCACCATAAAGACACATGCACACATATGTGCATCAATCACAGTACTATTCACGATAGCAAAAACATGGAATCAACCTAGATTCTCATCAATATGTAGACTGAATAAAGAAAATGTGGTACATATGTACCATGGAATACTATGCAATCATTAAAAAAAAACCATAAAAGGGATCCTGTCCTTTGCAGCAACATAGATGGAGCTGGAGGCCATTATCCTGAGTGAACTAACACAGGAACAGAAAACCAAATACTGCATGTTTTCACTTATAAATGTGAGCTAAATATTGACTAGACATGGACACAAAGAAGGGAATAACACACACCAGGGCCTACTTGAGGGTGAAGAATGGGAGGAAGGTAAGAATCAAAAAATTACCTGTTGGGGACTATACTTATGTATTAATTTGTTCTCACGCTGCTAATAAAGACATACCCAGGACTGGGTAAATTATAAAGGAAAGAGGTTTAATTGACTCACAGTTCCACATGGCTGAGGAGGACTCACAATCATGGCAGAAAATGAAGGGAAAGCAAGACAGGTCTTACCTGGCAGCAGGCAAGAGAGACCTTGTGCAGGGGAACTCCCATTTAAAAAACCATCAGATCTCGTGGGACATATTCACTACCACTAGAACAGTATGAGGGAAACCACCCCCATGATTCAATTATCTCCACCAGGCCCTGCCCTTGACACGTGGGGATTATTACAATTCAAGGTGAGATTTGAGTGGGGGATACAGCCAAACCATATCAGCTTATTACCTGGGTGAGGTGATAATCTGTACAACAAACCCCCATGACATACAATTTACCTATATAACAAACCTGCACATATATCACTGAACCTAAAATAAAGGTTAAAGAAAAAGAAGTCCACAAAAAAATTTCATTAAAACGAATATAAAATGGTCAAACAAAATTTAACTGAGGTGGGCAGATCATGAGGTCAGGAGATTGAGACCATCCTGGCTAACACGGTGAAACCCCGTCTCTACTAAAAATACAAAAAATTAGCCGGGCATGGTGGCGGGCGCCTGTAGTCCCAGCTACTCGGGAGGCTGAGGCAGGAGAATGGCGTGAACCCGGGAGGCGGAGCTTGCAGTGAGCCGAGACCACACCACTGCACTCCAGCCTGGGCAACAGAGCGAGACTCCGTTTCAAAAAAAAAAGAAAAAAAGTGAAATGTAAATGGTGTAAAATAAAGTGAAATAACTATATATTTGAAAACATGGTTGTAAGAAAACAAATTAGACATTCAAGTATTGAAACATCAATAGGCCAGGTTATGTGCCTTAAGTCTGTAATTCCAGCACTTTGGGAAGCCAAGGCAGGAGATCACTTGAGGTCAGGAGTTTGAGATTAGCCTGGCCAACATAGCAAAAACCAGTCTCTACTAAAAATAAAAAAAATTAGCAGGGCGCAGTGGCGCATGCCTGCAATCCCAGCTACTGGGGTGGCTGAGGCAGGAGAATCACTTGAACCCGGGAGGCAGAGGTTGCAGTAAGCCAAGACTGAGATTATGCCACTGCGCTCCAGCCTGGGCAACAGAGCGAGACTCCATCTCAAAACAAAAACAAATATTAAAACATCCAATTAATAGAGTAAATCTTAGAAGATTTTATATTAAATAAAACTTGCCTTAGTGTGAAACCAAATCTGAAAATTATTTTAAAATAATAAATTCAATTACATACTTCAACTACGTTTTCTACAAAGAAAACCCGAAATTAAAATCAGAGATAATAAAAAACAAGGAAAACTATTTGTGGTTTATGTCATTAAAGAAATAGTTAAATTACTTAGGAAAACCCCTTCAATAAGTAAAAGTATACAAACAACTCAGAAACATAAGCAATGGATGACTAGAGTTCATAGAAAAAAAAAGGGATCATTTCTAAACACAGGAAAATATTATTAATCCCAATCATTAAAAAAAGCAAACTAGAAGCTACATTGAGATACCATATTTTGCCTATGAGATAAGAGAAAAAAGATTTAGCAACACTGTTTTACTGAGCACTTGAGGAAAGAGTCCCTCTTATATTACTGGTGTGAGTGTAATTTTTATAACTCTATGGAAACAAACTTAACACAGTAAAAATTTAATGTGTATACTCTGCCCCCAAAATTCCACTTTGAGAAATGCATACTTCTGATAAACTCATGAATAAGAAAATGAAAGATATCAAGGTAAGTTCATTGAAGCATAATTTTAATGACAAAAGAAGAGCAATAATCTAAATGTCTTTTAATAGGGAATTGGTTAAATAAATAAAGGTGACATTTTTATTGGAAGTCTATGTTGTCTTTAAAAATAGCTGACAGAGAACTACATGTACTCACGGGGGTGATCTCAAAAATGTATTGTTTAGCATCTTCTTTGAAAAGCCAAGTTTAAGACAAGAAATTGTGTGTGTACATGTGTATTCATGCACAAACATAGATATATTTATTTATATACATACATATAGATGCATGGATATATGTATAAATACAATACTTATATCTATAAACTATCCTCTGAACTTTGGGGAAACTGGATAACTAATGGATTCAGGCCTGGACCTAACTGGATGGCTTAAGTCATCTCAAGTCATATCTCCAGCCAATGTTTCCAAGCTTGGATGCTGTTTACATTGTTCAACACCTTCCTGGTTATTTAGCTAACGGAAAAGAGAAGGATGGCTGAGGAACGAATGGCAGGAATGTAAAGATTAGTCCACAATTTCAGTTTGGAATGACTAATACCACAACTTCACTGCGCTCAACAACCCTTGTGTTGACACATGAGTTTGGATCCATTGTGTTTAGTAAAACAGCATGTGCCCAAACTGTAAGTGCTTACTTAGTGAGGAAGGCAAAAGAGTGGCCAATGGTTCTTAAAAATAAAAAATAAGTCGAGAGGAAGGATTTTAGAAAGTACAGGTAAATCTATAAATGCCCAGAATATGAAGCTTAGTAGTATTTAGTCCACACAGGAAGAAACTCAAGTCTTTTCTTGATTTACAAACAACAAAATGAATTCAGAATCTGGTGACAGATATAAAAAGCCTCAACTTAAAAGAAATTTAACAAGTTAAAGTAGTAATCACTGTGGGACAGGAAACATAGTATTTATCTTTGTTGCTTATCTGATGAAAATGCCACAGTCACTTTTGGCTATGACTTGGCTAATAGATCTGAATATTTAAGTGGCTTGTGAGCTTTCTCAAAGTCAAAATCGACATTTCTCTTTTTTTCTAGTTTAACATCTTGTCCTTAAGTCCTTAAGCTGAGCTTCTACTCCATAGCCATGTTCGAAGGTGCTCTGGGCAAGGAGCTGGCCCTTCCAGACCTTTTAATAGAAGGCCTTGACTGGAAGAAGACTGGCAGCAATTCAGCATTTCCACCTTTTATTTTCTGAGGGAGTGTAGATAAGGGAGCTATCAGCCTGGGCAGTAGGCTGCAGCAGCAGATCTGATTGAAGCAGAGATTTCAGTAAATTAAGAATTTGTTATCACTTAGAACAGGCTGTCCTCCTTTCAAGGAATGTGGGCAATGGCACAAGTTGATTGAAAGGCCTTCTTGTTCCAATAATACTGAATATTTATATTTCTGAGCTGAAAAGACAACCTAAAGATAAGACATGAAGAGTCTTGCATTAGATCCAGCTACATGCCAAGTGGGCAGAGTAAATGATCATCTATCTCTGTAGTAGTATAGGCTCTATACTACAGTGATGTCAAGAGCTTGAGAACGCCCCAGGCCCCCCACAGGCCAGCAAATACCTAAAAATGCGCTTTTAGGGATCTTTTTCCAGTAAATAAAAGCTGTGAAGTATAGATTCCCTTCCCCACAATTGGAATAGTCTTTAAATTATTCACAGACAATTTCTTATTAGAGTATATTTCAGATTTTTCCTGAGAATAGACTTTTAAAAGTTTAGGGCTCTTTTAAAAATATTTGTGATTGTTCTTGTTACCCATCAAAGCCCTTATCATACATCACTGTAAAGTGCATGTTTACCTATTTGTTTATCATATTAGACTATCAGCTCTGCAAAGGCATGGACCTTGTTTGTCTTCGAAACAGGTTTATCTCAGGGCCTAGCACATTGCCTGGCACTTAATAAAATCTCAGTATTTCTTGTGTAGAACTGAATTTCATTAGACTGAATTGTGTAAGAGGTTGTTTCTTGGAGATAATTTTTTTCTTCCTTTAGTGAAGGAAAAAAACAGAGCATCATTAGGAAAGACAAGCTTCATCTACTGAAAATCATTAAAAGCTTGACTGACTTTGACCTTACTTAATGATCCATCTAGTTTTCAAATAAGGTAATAGATTCAGTGACTTTTCCAAAGCCACACCAATACTAACTGGCAGAACAAGAATGAGGAGCCAAATCTTCAGACCGATAGTCAGACATTTATTCCACACAGTTGATCCTTCTATTTTAAGGTATTGCAGTTGGAAGAATGTGGAAGCACTGCGGAAGCACTTGTCAGGGAGGGTATTCAGTATCAGACACTGGCACACACCCAGTGTGATCAACATAGGCTTGTTCATCATCTACTTTTATGAAAGTTTTACCAACAAATGCTTTCTAAACTGTAGCAGTCCTTCGTCACTTGAACAATGGTTCTATTGGCTGAAAAGAAGGTTGCTGGGTTTTCCTATCTGAGAACTGGTGTCTGAAACAGTAAGAAACCTTTCTTGGGGAGTATTCTTAGAGGATTATGACATCTCTGAAACTGTTTAGGTGGCAGGTCTCTTATTTCCTGACTTTCTTCTCTAGCTTTCTGTCTCCTTGGTGTTGTTGAAATCGACCTGGCATGGTGGGTAGACATCTGTTAATAATCTCATTAACATGGGTCAATTTTGCTTAATTTACTACCTTTAACTTAACAGAAATGTACTTATTAGTGGCATACCCTCTTCTCTATAAAGAAGAATGTTGAATTCATAAATAAATAAATTGGCAGGACAGCTTCTGCAAAGTTTTAAATTCTAGTAAGCAAGCAATGTGCTATCAACCATAGCAAATTGTCATTACTGAATGACGGATAAGAACGGCTCAAAAATATAAACTAGGTTTTAAAAATCCTGTTTGTTAAAAGCAAACATCTCTGCAAATCAAAAGGTAAAACTGTACATATGCCTTGCTAAAGTTGTTTCTCACAGGAGTGCAGGTTAACAATTCTGATTCTGCTACACACATATACTGGAAGTAAACATTTAAGTAAATGGATAGCAGATGGTAGAAGCTGCATTTCTTACTGTAGAAGTGACAGTTTACAGATGGGCAGCAGCAGGAGGCTAAAATAATCCACTAGGAGTGAATTAGAGTTGGAGATATCAGTATGAACTCATGTTTAGCTTAATATAGATACATATGGCTACATATAGAAAAGTTTGTAGATATGTGTATATACATGGTTTAGGATACTCACATACATTTCCTTGTTCTGTAAGCTGAGAGTGCCTAAATAAAACAACTCCCCAGTAGGAGCAAGTACACCTAGCACCTGGTTCTTAATTTCTATAATAATACCATTATCCAATAAAAACAAAAAACAAAAACACAAGACCCCTTAGAGAAATGTCTGAAATGACTGATTCTAGGACTGGGAGATGAAATATACAGATAATCCTGGAAGATTCTGTGGTACAAGAAGGAGGTGTTTAAACAGCAACAACAACACACACACACACACACAAAACAACTACAATAAACCCCATAAAACAACCTATATTGATGGGAGTGTGGCAAAGGGGCACAAACATCAATTGAAGGAGTTTACAATGGCCAAAACTGGAACTATTTGAGCAACAAAATGCATGAAATAGCATTGAATTCTAAACTCAAATATAAAATAAGTGATCTATATTAATTCATTATCTATATTGATATAAATATATGATTGAATGGTGAAGAGAAAAATCTCCCATTCAGAAGAATTCAAAATAAATTATGTAGATGCTGCACTCTAAAAGAGGGACATTATAACTTCCCACTATACAGAATGGCTTTGTTACAAAGATTGCCATGAGGAAGGAGGAAAATGAGGAACTTTATGGTGAAGAAACACTAGAAACACTACCTTAGCCAGGTTATCAAAGTCAAGATCATGTTGATAGCATAAACCCTTGATATGTGATGAAAATGGCACTTTATCTCTGTGATCTTTGTTCTAAAAACATATAACCCATCCATCAGACAAATTTCCATAAAGGAACATCCTGCAAAATTCCTGACCCGTACTCCTGAAAACCATCAACAATAGCAAAATCAAGGAAAGTAAAGAACTCTTCAGCCAATAGGAACCTAAAGAAATATGGAGATTAAATGTAGTGCTTAATTCAGGCCATCCAGAATAAGATCCTGGAAGAGCAAAAGGACGTTAGGTAACAACTAAGAAAATCGAATGAAGTATAGATTTAGTTAATAATCATGTACTCATATTGGTTCATTAATTGTAACTAATGTACCATACCAATGCAAGATGTTAATAATATAGAAAACTGGGTGTGTAATAAGTGGAAGTATATGGGAACACTATTGTCTCAATGTTTCTGTAAATTTAAAACTATTCTTTAAAAAGTTTATTTTAAAAAGCAAATATAGCCTTTGTTTCCATTTAATGTGAGCATGTTTTTTGCTGGCATTTATTCTTTGTTTCTCAAGTCTTCTCATTTTGTTTATTAATTAAGATTTAACCTATTGTTGTTGCCTTCAAGTATTTAAAAGTCTATCACGTGAAAGGGGAAGTAAACATTTTCTGCTTTAGAGGGCAGCACCAGGACCATATAAAAACCAACAACAAGGGAGATACCAGCTCCCTAATATGGAAGCCTTTTCTAACTCCAACAATGGAAAAGGTTGACTCATAGAGTAGTTGAACTTTCTGTGCATTCGGGCAGAGACTGACTGACACCATCCATCAAGTATGCTTTAATGGAGATTTTTTTTCACTGGGTGGCCAGTTGGAGTGGAAAACCTCAAGGATTCTTCCAACTCTTTTCTAAATATCTGTGGACAAGTTGCCCAATTCTCTGTGTAGTTAAAGTTCAGACAATTTATTCCAGTGTGAATCCGTACTCACAGCCAAGACTTTCAGCAGAGAATGTCTGTCTATTGACCACAATTCTAAGTTTAGCTGATTGCCCAAAACCTACCAGCTGCACTAGTCATCCAGTAAAAGGAAAAGTAAATTAACCTACTAAGCTATGCCTTTTTGAGCCATGCCATTTGATAGGTGGTATGTTCCCTCCTTGAAGTCTTAAGGAGTCATATGATCCGATTCAGGGCTTTAGCAATGTTATGTTTATCTTACGACACACTTCTAGAGCCTTGCAAATCTAATGCCACAATCCCACAGCTTGGCTCAACCACTCCATAGTTAGGATGGCAGTGATTACTGGTGAAGTGAGAGACTGCAAATCAGAGTGATTGAGGTTAGACGGTGGGTGCATGTGTGGAAAGAAAGTTTTATATTTCAATCTCATTTTATGAGCCTGGCTTTCCCTGTTAAAGATAGAAGCTGGGAAAATCTACTGGTGCAAGGGTAAAGCAATACCTTTTTGGTGTCACAGTTTCCTTTACAAAGGGAACTCATACATATGGGCCTCTTCCCAGACAAAATAATAAAATCTCTTGGTTTTTCCCACACCACCCTCCCTGTCATAAAAGGGAACATGAAAATGTTTTCTTGATCAACCGGTGTTTATCGAATGTTTTTGGTTCACAACACACCTAGAATATTATTGTCTTTCTGCATACACACTGGAGTGAACAGAAAAGGTGCTGGAAAACAAGAACTTTGCTGATTTTTAGCTAACCTGACTGCAACCTATTACAGATGAAAGACTAATATCTCAGCCTGTGTGGCAGGAAGATCATTTCTTTAATAAACCAAAATTATTATTTTTATTATAAAAATATTTATATTCAGCTCATGAGCTTGAACCTTATAAAATGGCCATTTATAGTCAGTTAACGGTAACTTCTTATGGTTCATCATAA
Organism: Homo sapiens; assembly: GCF_000001405.40. Taxonomy (NCBI): domain Eukaryota; kingdom Metazoa; phylum Chordata; class Mammalia; order Primates; family Hominidae; genus Homo; species Homo sapiens. Next base: position 106,344,812 of record NC_000003.12, on the reverse strand, counting down.
TAGAAAATATGAATTTCTAGAAAAGTATGAAGAAAAAAGTAAAAAAAAAGTCTCATCTCTATAGCTAAGGGATCAGATATTTTACATTTTGCTGTATGGTACGTCAATACTTTGAGTTTCCCCTACTCTTACATACATACATGTACTTTACATTATTTAAATCATGTCACAATGCATAATTTTTGTGACCTGTTTCTTTCCATTAATATTTAATAAGTACCATTTCCCATGTCATTCATTATTCTATAGTATGATTCTCAGTGACTCTGTCATATCCAGTCACATGGATAAGCAAATTAATTTAATTTAAGCAACTTTCTATGATCAAATATATGCCAATATTTAAACTTATGCTGCTATAAGCATACTTATAAGGGAAACTTTTACATACATCTCCGATTATGCTTAAGGTATTTCTGGATCAAAGTACGTGCACATGTTCAGACTTTTTTTTTTTTTTTTTTTTTTTTTTTTTTGAGGCTAGATCTCACTCTGTTACCTGGGCTGGAATGCAGTGGTGCGATTAAAGCTTACTGCAGCCTCAACTGGACAGGCTCAAGTGATCCTCTTGCCTCAGCCTCCTGAGTAGCTGGGACCACAGGCACATACCACCATGCCTGGGTAATTTTTTTTTTTTTTATTCTTAGAGACAAGGTCTTGCTATATTGTCCAGGCTGGTATTTAGATCATTCAGATTATTCACACATTGCCAAATCACCTTCCAGAAGGCTGAATCCACCAAGAGATGTAATCATGCATCCTTCTCACCAGCATTCTGTATTATCATTGTTTTAAATCTCTACTAATCATTTGTTTCTTATCTGGATTTCTCAGGGGAGTTTCATGGTCACTAAAGTCCTGTTATGTTTGGCATTTATGGTGACCTTTCCACTGGAATTTTAGGGATTAAAACACCTCAGCAGCCTGCTTAGTGCTATGCCCTTCCTTTCAGAAATTCCAGTCCATTGCAGACATAGATTGTGGTAGCTGCAAGTAGACAGTGACCTGCGTCTTTATTCTAAAAGGAGTTCTGTGTTTGAAATTATACTTCTTCAGCCCCTAATTAAACTTCACATCTAATAATGAAGTCGGGCAGAGGACCTACCAAGTGAGTGATAGTCCACTCATTATTAGAGGCAAATTCACTACCTCTTGTCAGCTGCTACCATGTTAGATAGAACCTTACTAAGTTAGAACAGATGCTTGGAAGTCCATGGCGTCTAGTGGAAAGGGGAGTAGTTAAAATTAGACAAGGATATAGCTTGTTGAATGTTGAGGAAATAAGCAGTTCTTAAAGAAGAAGAAGAAAAACCTACCTACCTAAAACATCTGAGGTTTTTTCCACTCCAGTGGCCAGTACTTGGCTAATGTGTAAAGAACATTAAAACAGTCTTCAATTCAACAAGAGGATACATTTTAAAAAAATTATTAAACCTATCCAATTATTTTTAAAAAGGCTGATTTGTGAAATAATGATTCTTCCAGAGTGCTCAGGCAAACTGATCACCCCCCTTTGAAACAATCACATGATACATACTTATGTTATTCACACTAATTATAGAAATTTAGAATTATTTTTACCAATTTGCCTCTACTACTAGCCCATGAGTTTTATTGCTAACTAATATTCATTAATATTATATAGGGAATGGATCATATGATTTCAGGGCTTCTCAGTTAGCCTCTTAATGCCTCAAATACTCTTACACGATTAGAAATGGATTTTTTATTTAAAATTGTAATACCTCTGGATAGCAACAGATTAAGTCTCATTAATAATTCAAAGTGAATGAATTATAAAATTTTCTTCTGGGAGAGGAGGATGACATGAAGTGGAGAAACTGAGTGCCTTTGGGCAAAGTATGACGAAAGAAAAAAGTGGAGGCATAGAGTCCTGAAGACAAAATTTGCTGACTACATATGTTGTTGTTCTTTTAATTTTTATTATTGTTGTTTTATTAAGGGTCACTTTTAGACGCAATTGATGTTCTGTATGATTTAAAGCTGCTCTTTATTTTTAAAAATCCTAGCTTAGGGCCATGATATTGTGGGGGAAATTAAGTTTTCTTAATTTTCCTACAGTCAATATGATATAAAGGTCATTCATTAAGCTCTGCCCAACTCTTTCACTTGTAAAAAGATCAAATAAAACTGTTTTATTAAAATAGCGGCAGTAAAAGCAAGGAGGAAGAAGGGATGGAACACAGGGTGTGGTTGGGATCCAAATGTTCCTGGCATTGCTGGAGTGAACTACTTTGACACCAAGTATTTAGGCTTACCAGTTGATCTAAATACAGTCTCATTCTCTCCCTCACTTGAGACTAAATATCATTCATTCTTTCAATCATTCACTTAATGAATATATGGTGGGTACCGAATCTATGTGCCAAGTCCTGCAGTGGGCTCTCAGGTTACAGCAGTCAACCAATTAGATAAAAACTCTCTGGCTTCATGTAATTTACATTAGAGTTAGATGTCCCTTGGAAAAATAGGATTAAACCCCAGATGGGTATAACTGTGGCAACAAAGGAAGAGGTTTTCAGTTTAATCCTAAAACAATCTGAATTTAATGAATCTAGTAAAATCTTAACTAGCAAAGCAAATGCCAGTCTATCCCAGAATTATTCTTCAATGTGGAGATATGTGAGAGAAATATATTCCTATTAAAGCCCTCTCTCAAAAAAAAGGCTCCAGTATTTAAGTGGAAAATGCGAACTGTCACCAAATTTAGCCGAAATTAGCATCTTGTCGTCTGAAAATTTTTCAGCCAAGGAAACCGCATAATCCAAATGCAACCATTTTTTCTTGTACTCTTTCCTAAAAATCTAACATTCATGCTGCCAATGTTTATGCTGCCAACGTCGTCAATATACTTTGCTGTAAGGGATTAAAGGCTGGATACAAATAATTTTCAATGAACAACTCTAATTAGCCACTAGAGTTGGCATATTTCCTGCAATCTGAAATTAGATCACAGAGTTGGGTTTTCATGAAAAAGCACTATTAACTCTCTAGACTTCCAATTCCTATTTGCTGGGGGAAATTACAGTTTTGAACTTTAACTGCTACTATCTGAAGAAGTCTGTAGTCAGCAGTAATAAAAAGATATGTGGAATCGGACTTTCAGTTTGCTGCTTTTCCACTGGTGGGACTTTCCGAAATAAACCCAGAAAAGCAATATCCCTGGGAGATATTTCAGCAGATTTTTTAATAATAAAAGAAGAAAAACTATTTTAAAATGTTAAAAACACAAAACTTTAAAATTATTTATATAATCCTCTGTAACAACAACAAATTTTTTTATCTAACACTATCCACCGATAGATGCATGGATATTTCTTAGACCCAGTTTTGAATCCTTTCCACTAGAGGTTTTTCTCTCGGTGTGCCCCTATTGTTCAGTCTGGGAAATAGTGCACATGCCTCTATTAGGTAAGTGCTTGGGAAGGGCTGCTAAATAACATCTAATGCCATTTCGCAGCAGCCCGAGGCTGCGTCTTTTCACAGCTGTGCCATTTCAAGGCAGCATGTGCGCTTCATCACTGACTCTTGCATTATAAATAAGACCTGAGGTGGATGCTCCTGTTTTAGACTCCTGTCTGCTGTCATCAGCTGCTGTAGGGCCGATCTGCTGATAGTTAACACACCAGATGTCTGGTACAGCCATGTACACTTCTGGAGCTTCATTTGGATAAGATTAATCATTCTCCTTCACTGATTTCAATGGAACAATAAAAAAGATGGAACAAAGGGATTGAGGCATAGAAAATCAGGGCAAGAATTTTAAAAGAGAGAGTATATTATATTTCACTAAAGTAATAACTGTTCTTAACTATTGGAATAATTTGTATTTTACTAAAAAGTCTTCTGTCACACATACTTTCAATAATCTATAAATAACTTTTCACCTTAGAAGGTATTTGATATAAATCTTTCCAGAGTGAACAGGATAACTTCAAAAGTATACACACCAAGATTGGTGTCTGGCCATTGATGGCTGACTTTTTAAATTAAGATAAAGAAAATGATATAGTTTTTGCAATTTACTTTCCAAAAAATTATCTTTAAATTATAAAACCTAAAGTGCAATACAAATTCACTGTACAAATCCTGAAGGTTTGAAGTTTTAATTATTTAAAAAATCATTAATTATAACAGTGATAAAACAATTGACTGTGTTTACTTTCACATTTTTTGTGTGTATCAGATTTTTAAAAACGTTTAGTAATTATTTGAATATAAATGGTGCTTTTTCCTATGCATTTATAACTTTTCTCTGAATATTTGGGTATTTAAAAAAATATATTTTTCTAAGGCAGAAAGTTGACAAGTTTTATTGCTATTAAACAGAGGAGAAAATTGAGGTACCAAAAAAAGAGAATCTAATCCTTTTTTATAACTTAGTAATATAGACATATTAGTTCTATTTATTTTCTAAATAAAAATATTAATGAACAGGTACAAGTTGAGTATCTTAAAGTCGTCAGCACAGGTTAAAATGTAGAACTGAGTTTCAAACCTAGAATTTATCCTGTTTTTTTTCTGAGCATGAGAAGACAATTTTGTCATTAAAAATTAAATTTAAAGAAGATATAAAGAGAATATAAAAAGCTTTAAGTTGAATTTAATATATGTGTGTATACATATATATATATATACACACACACATATATATATGGAAGACTTCCTAACAGATATCTTAATAGTGTTTAAGAAAATTAAATAAGTTATGTTATAACCAGGTTGGATTGTGTTCTTCAGCAAAACAGAACCAGTTGTGTATGTGTGTGTGTGTATATATGCACACTTACATATATTTATACAAAGATATTTGTTTCAGGAAATTGGCTTATGCACTTGTGAGGGCTGGCAAGTCCAAAACTTGTATGGCAGGCCAGTAGGCTGGAAATTCTCAGGCAAGAGCTGACGTTGCAGTCTTGAGGCAGAATTTCTTCCACTTTAAGGAAACCTCAGTCTTACTCTAAAGGCCTTCTAACTGATTGAACGAGTCATACCCACATTATTAAGGGTCATCATTACTCAAAGTCAACCGCATCTACAAAATACGTGGTCACAGCAACATCTAGAATAGTGTTTGATTAAATAACAATAGCCCAGTTGACACACAAAACTATCGCAAAGGACAGGAAATGCCTCTTCTGCATGTTCATATGAACATTGTACTCCCACAGCATACTGGCACACTTGGTGAAGAAACTAAATATTATTTGAATGACTTTAGTTCATCAACCTACTTGGACAGTAAATCTTTCATTTTAGAAAAATTGTTCACTATTGGCCTGGTGTGGTGGCTCATGCCTATAATCCCAGCACTTTGGGAGCCTGAGGCAGGTGGATCACCTGAGGTCAGGGGTTTGAAACCAGCCTGGCCAATGTGGCGAAACCCCGTCTCTACTAAAAATACAAAATTAGCCAGGCGTGGTGGCGCACGCCTGTAATCCCAGCTACTTGGGAGACTGAGGCAGGAGAATCACTTGAACCTGGGAGGTGGAGGTTGCAGTGAGCCGAGATCGTGCCATTGCACTCCAGCCTGGGCAACAAGAGCAAAACTCCGTCTCAAAAAAAAAAAAGAAAGAAAAATTACTCGCTATTATAATGCCACTCCTTTTCACTTAAGCACACAACTCACACTTTCATGGGAATAAATATATTCTGTGAAAATCAGAAAGATAAAATTGGGCTTCTCATTTGAAGAGAGGAAACCTCCCTCCAAATGGTCAGGTCATGCCCTCACCCTGTGGCATAGCTTAGTGATCAGAACTGGAGTTTCTAGGTTTGTATCCCACTTCCGGCATTTCCTTGCTGTGTGATCTCAGTATCTTTATCTGTGAAATGGGGACACTGATATTCAGAGCTTGTGGTGAAGAGTGCCTGTCTCACAGCAAGAGCTATGGAATTGTTAGATAATACTATTTCTGGAGGAGGAGGGAACAGCTGGAAATTCTTCAGCTTGTCCTCTCCATGCCACTGAAATAAAGCCATGTATTGCAACTTATGTTTCTGAGCCTGGTAAACAAAGTTCGCAGTACTCAAATTTGGCTCTGTGGGCTAATGTCAGTCAGGAAACCACTGGTTACAGATCTTAGTGAGATAAGTACATAATGCCACAGCAATTTGATATTGCTGAGATATTTTTATTGTATTGTATGAAAGTGGCATCCCGCAATGGGTTAGATAAACAAAACAAAATAGACAAACAAAACGATTGGTTCTTCACCACGTCGCAAATAGTTTGGGGAGAACTCATCTCGGAAACCCCTGTTGGTAAAAATTTATCTCCAGGTAAAAATTTAAATGTTAATTTCATCAAAATTCAGTATGTTATCTCCTCCAGAAAAACAATAGTTGGGGTTCCTGCCATTGGTTTGTAGTGTGCATACACGTGCTTGGTAATTGTCTGTTTGGGTATTTGTCTACCTAACTGGAGTATGAGACTCTGACATGCAGAGTTCCTTCTTGTCTGGGCTCCCAGGGACTGGGATGGTGATTGGCACACTTCTATCTGGTGTTTGATAACTATGTTTCCAATGAATGAAAGCACAGATAAGTGACAGGAAGAAAACTAGTCAAGGATGGGAAAATAAGCTTGTTATTTTTCTGATCTATAATAGGATGAGTGAGAAAACCTAGCAATATTAATAGAGTAATAGAAAATATTTAGATTATATTGTCCCTTTTAGATGTTGTGTATGCTGTAAAACATACACTGCCTTTGACTCTGAGTATAAATTTTTAGTAACAGTTTTGAATGACTGAGCCATGACGTAAGTGCAGGTTGGAGAAAGAGAAGAGATCTGCTTCAGGAGAAATTCACACTTTACAAATTAAATGATTGGAAAGATGCCATTTGTTTAATGAGGAAGAGTTGTTGCTTCCAGTAGCATTTGTTGACACTCATTAAACATAAGAACAAGAGAGAACCACCAGGCGCGGTGTTCACGCCTGTAATCCCAGCACTTTGGGAGGCTGAGGCGGGCGGATCACAAGGTCAGGAGATCGAGACCATCCTGGCTAGCACGGTGAAACCCCATCTCCACTGAAAATACAAAAAAAAATAGCCAGGCTTGGTGGCGGGCGCCTGTAGCCCCAGCTACTCGGGAGGCTGAGGCAGGAGACTGGCGTGAACCCAGGAGGCGGAGGTTGCAGTGAGCCGAGATCACGCCACTGCACTCCAGCCTGGGCAACAGAATGAGACTCTGTCAAAAAAAGAAAAAAAAAAAAAAAAAGAACAAGAGAGTTTATGGAAACCATAATTGTATCAGCGTGATAATTATGAGAATGTATTTGGGTCATTTGTCCCAAAACTAAAAGGACAAGGAACATCATACTAGATTTCTGCATGAGGCTTTGAGCTGGCATCAATGACTCAATAATGCTTTGTTAGGATGAGTTTCTTTCAAAGAAGCATGATGTTTTCTTCTGGCATGTAAGGTGACATTTCTTTTCCTGACTTCTTGAGAAAAAAATTTTTCCCATAATTGGCTAGGTTTCTGGCCATCAGTCACGAGTCCCTGATGCCATTTCACATCATTTTCATGGTGCTGTGCTAACACATCATATTGACTCATCATGAAACACAGACCTAGGAACTAAAAAAAAAAGCCAATAATTATTGATCTTTCAGGATGAGTAATTTGTATTAATACTGGAAAGATCAAAAGAAGTGTGTTCACCTAAAACTTACTTGGACTCTTAAGGAACAGTCAAGAATTCTTTGTGGTTTCTGGAGTAGAAATAATATTATTTACCAGGAGACATAAGAAAACTTAAAGCAAATAAAAAAATCCCTACTTTTTATCTTCCTAATATGACAGCAAATTGCCACCTATGTCTACATAGCATTAAAAGAACTCATATATACTGGGGTCTATTGTTTCTCTGGCATGATGTCATGAAATACTAAACGCCATCACGATTGACAAGTTATGTGATTTGTGGCAAATTATTTACAATCTCTGAGCCTCTATTTTCTCATCTCAAATAGGAACCATAATACATAACCTGTAGCATTATTGTGACTTTTAAATGTCACTTGAATGTAAAGTGACTAGCATTGGTTCTAGCATTTAGTTCCCCAACAAGTGCTGATTTACATTCTTTGTACTCTCCTACTGATCCTCCTTTGAAGTAAGTTCAGTTTCCTTTCAGATTTCTAGTTGTCTACTTGTCCACATGTTTGTAGCTCAGTAGTTGCAGTGAATTCAAATAAACATGGCAGAACATATTTTAAGTTTGATATAGTCTTTTTCTCCATCAGGTCATCTGGGTCTTTTTTTGAGGCTGTTGAAAGATGATATTGTTCATTCCTTGAATCCACTATTCAAGGATTGCCAAGCCAATATCAATAATTCAACTTCCTGTCCACTCCCAGTTGACATACCTTAACTTAATCCCACTTTAAAAAAAATCAAAATTTTTGTTTGTTTTCTTTTCCAAATGCATTCTTAAAAATGTGAACATAAAGCTTGCTCTTTCAATTTTAATTTTCTTCCAACCACAAGAAAAAGAAAAGGTGATGTCTATAAGAAATACTAAGTCTAAAAATGGTGTGTTTAGGAAATTACTGTCTAGATCTCCCTACTTAATTTCCATATATATAATTTCACAACACATTTATTGGTTTGATTTTCATCTATCTTGTTCTCTTATTTCCTAAAGGGCATGAGCTGATTTGGCCAGTTTTATGTGGCTATAGAGAGTTGAAAAAGTATCCTAAGTTCATGTAAATTATTTTCATTCCATTAAAAATGAACAGGAATATTCTAGAGTTTCTTTTATATATACTAGAAGAAACATTTCATGGTGGATAGAATTAGAGTTTTGCCACAAGGCTAAGTCATTTATACATGGAGGTGATAGCAGCGATGGGAAGATATGAACCACCTACACATTTTGCTTTGCAGAAAACAAGCCTGCAGTGTTCTAAATGTTTATGTCCCTACAAAATTTATATATTAATATCCTAATCCTCAATGGATCGTTTTAAAAGATGGGTCATTTGGGAGATAATTAGGTTATGAGGGCAGAGAATTTATGAGAGGGATTAATATCCTTATTAAAAAAAAATAAAGGTCCCAAAGAGGCCATCCCTCCTTTTATGCCATGTGAAATTACAATGAAAAGACAGTCATCTGTGAACCAGGAAGTCGGTTCTCACCAGATACTCAATATACTAGCACCTTGATCTTAGACTTCCCATCCTCCAGAACGATGAAAAATAAATTTTTGTTATTTATAAGCTACTCAATTTATGGCATTTTGTTATAGCAGCCTGAACAGACTAAGACAAAACATTTTCCATATGAGCTAGGAGGACAGTTATGTAGAACCTTGGGAACAGAAAGTTTTAAGACGTACACATACACACGCACACACACACACACACACACACACACACACACGCTCAATTTCCCTCGAATCAAGCTCCAAACAGCTGAAGCACTCTGAAAGTCCTTAAAATTGTATGAAAATGGTAATACCTTAAACAGTAATAATTATTTCCTCCCAGCACATTGGATGTATCTGAATATTTACAATCAACATTTTTAAAGAATGTGCCTTTCCATGTGACTATGCACAGGGTCCTCCCTGCAGATATTTAGGAGATAACATGTAATAGATATCCACAAACCCCATCTGACAGACGAGTTTCATTGTGAAAAGTCATCATACATCATCCTCTCAGATATGTTGTTTTCTAGTCTTTTTCATTTAAACATACTGTTTTTTTTTTAATCGAATTTAGAGACCTTTAGACTGGGGTGGCTCTGGCACTTCAAATTCTTTGGTGAACAAATCAAAGCCCAATGTAAACAGTAAATGGAAACTAGGGTAACTCTACCAATCAGAAATCACTAACTGTGGGAATAAGCAAGCAAAGAAGGAGAGAATGGAGATGCTGGAAAAAAATGGGGAGCAGAAGGTAAGGAAACCAATTTAGGAAGAGAGTAACTTTAGATAAAGGACTAAACACCACTTTCCATGGACAGAAATAAATCTCGAAGGGATGGAAAATAATGCAGGCAAGATAGTGAATTGTTGGCCAGGAAGCTGAGGGAGCAAGCGAATGAGGGTGTTCTTTTCTCTGAAAACAGAGGCTATCATTGACTGAAAGCGAGGTGGAGAATTAGATTTGAGACTTGTACCCTGTCATATTGGAAAACCAGATCCATTTTACATGAAGTTATACAATGTATTTGTGTTATAATATATTTTCAAATACAGCACCTGAAATAAGAACCCCAACCCCCAAAGAAAAGGAAAGAAAGAAAGAAAAGAAATTACTAACTAACTTCTAACTAGGAACTTTCCATTCTAACCAAAGTTGTTTTGTTTGTCGTGCTTCTGCAAACCCTTCAGAAAAGTTTCCCCTTTTGCCCCTCCTGGCAGAGTGCTAACCACTTGTGGTCTGAAGCTGCCTTGATTCATGAGTCACTGAATGCTTTAATAAATTCTTTAAAAGATAAATGTAATAAAGCTTTTCTTTTATCAATACCTTTCACCTGAGACCTTTCCTCAACCAGTTCCAAAATTCCCGAAGTAAACACATCCTGAGAACAGCTAGTATTTACCTTGAGCACAAATGATCTTACAGTCCAGGAATGCAGAATGGATTGACTAGCACAAATCAGATGATGGCATAAGTCATTTTCTTGATATACAGGTGGAGGTCTACTTAGTGACCAGAAGAATTAGTAAAACATGAGCAGTAGTTTCTATAATCCTTAGGGCACACTGCATCTGTCAATGAAATAATGTCTTTTAGAGCAGTTGCCTCATGACTACACTTCACATGTGGTACACTTGAGTCACAGGCCTTGTGGGAGGCGAAGAACAGGTGAGACAGGCAAGGGCTCAATGTCTAACATGCTGAGACAAATAGATTGAGACCTCAGAAGGGAGAAGATAGTTTCTTTCAAAACTCTTGAAATATTTAATATCCTGGAGTGAAATAAATCCTAATTTAGAATTCTGTTTTCTTTTAAAAATTTTTTATACGACCTGTGGCCTCTTTTGTATTTTTCTTTTTGTCATTGCTAGCTAATAGATATGACACTTCTATTTTAATTTTTTGATGTTTTCTTTAAACATGTCAGATAAGTAATAATCCTGCATCATTATCTCTTATTCTGAAATATAAGTAGCTTTCAAAGTTGTCAACTTATAGTGGGATTAAATGGAGGAAAAATAGAAGATTTTGATGCTAAAGAATATAGATTGGTGAAAGCAAACAATTAATCATCTAATAATTACTGAGCATGGTGGGACAATTATACTTTTTGCTGCCTCAAGGAGTTTATAATCCTTTGAGGAAGACAAGTCATAAATTAAAATTTAATAATCTGTAGCAAGGATCAGTAAACTTTTTTTTTTTTTTGGTAAAAGTATTTAGCTTTGCAGACCCAAAGGAAAAGTAGAAGACATTATATACCTAGTTACTTATAAAGAGAGAACACTCTTGCCTTGCCCTATCCCGTTTGCCTGGGATAGACTGTGAATGGCGGTGGGCCAGCTTGAACTGCTGCAGTCAGCTGGAGATATTCTTCAAACCAGGAGAAACTATCCTGAGGTGGAGGGGCCTGTTTGGGGGTGGAGTGGCAGCTACCTTGGTCAGATTTAGTCTCTGTCCCAGTCATACCCAGATCCTTGTATGCCTTCTTTTCCCAGAAAGCCCAGTCATTTCAACTTAGGCAGGTGGCTAGAGGCGTGGTGACTCATGGAGTTGATGATTTCCTGACCGAGATTCCACTACTTGGTGCCTGGCAGTTGCCAATTGCTGATTTCCCCCAATAGATGGTGACCTTGAATAGCAGTGAATCTCAGGTGCAGGGTAGAGAAGCAAGCATGGGAGCAGAGTTGGGGACAGAGAGATTCCTAGGCTTACTCTCTGTGGTTCATAGTGCTAGCTTGCTCAAGATGGGTGCCAGTAGGCCATAGTGATTTATAGAATCCTTGTCATGTACCAAGCACCCAGCTAGATATTCAAGTACAAGGATGAAACAATCACAGTTTTATTACATTTATCTCACAATAAAGGGTTTAAAGAATACTATAAAAATGTTGTGATAGATAACTTTTGCTAGTGTTAATTACCATAATAACTCGGAATTGTGATCAGAAAGAAATTCATTAAGAGGATATACATTGAGCCCAGTGTTAAATGATAAAATTGATGAAATAGTGAGAAGAGAAACTACCTCAGATAGAGGAAGTAAAATTGTTAAAGAATAATTTTTTCAAAAGTCAAATCATGACTTATAAAATATAAAATAGATATGCATCAAAGATCTTACATAACTAATTTTTATCTTTTTCATTATTTAGGAAATCCATAAGATGTAAAAAGCAATTTTTAAAAAGTAAAAAATAGTGCCTATATGAGCATGAAAGAATGCTGAAATAAATTTGCTATCACATACAAAAGTGGTGTCTTCAGCAGTCTAGAAATGAATTTCATCTCCACCACACAAAATTCATTTGCATTTCTCTTAACAGGAGCTATCTGCATCACCATCATCTCTCTACAAATTATCTCCACAATGTTGCAAAATAGTTAAATAAAATGAAAGGCACTTATTCTTACAGAATCCCGTAACCCCAGAAGTGTCCTTGAGATAATGCTCAACATTCCACTGTAAAGGTAACCAGTTATCATTTCTCAATTCCAAAATCCTTTATCAGACAATATGAACAAAAGTAAAAAGAAAATACAATGTATTTGGTTCAGAGATATCTAAGATGCTCAGTTCTTCGTCATCTAAATTTCTTAAAATTGCTACCTGTAATAGACTATTTTACACAGTAAACCTGAAAGTGTTAAAACTACATCCTGACATTATAATTTCTAGCATCTCAGTAGATATGTAAGGAAACTATTGAGGAATTCAAATTGGTGTAGAGTGGGAGCTTTTCAACATTCTGTAAACTCCATAATGCACAGTCACCCTCTCAACTCTATTGCATAGGGGTAGTCCTGCTCAATGCTTTAGCTCAAATAAATATGTGCAAAGTGAAGAAACAAAACAAAACAAAACAAAACAAAAACAAACCAACATTAACAGCTTGGCAACCAAGGAAATGTCTATCACAAAGCCCATTCACTTTACTCCAAAGAGATAAATAAGGGCCAACATGTAATAAATTAAGAAAGCCAGATTCCTTCGTTATATACCAGATCTTCCCTATGTTAACATTAGACTATGTCAGCATTAGACTAAAAACAAAAAAATGCACTAACAGCAAGAAAGCAAAGGAGTAGATAGAAAAAAAAAAAAAAAAAGAACTGCCAATTCGAACCCTTAAAAGTAATGGGACCAATTTGATGTAATAGTTCTAGTGTTATTAGGGCTGTCTAGGGTTACTTGAGTAATAACGTAGCACCCTGTTAAAACATAGCACAAAAAAATGGTATTCATGGCAGTGGTTTTGCATCATGAGTAAAGACTCAAACCATGTCCAGAACATTTTCATTTGTGAAGACAATTAAATACATTATATATATTTGGAATAATTCTGCTAAAATTTATTTATTATGGTTTTAAAATCTGAGTGCTCAGACACAGTGTCAGATTATTTTAAAAGGTAGAAAGTTGAAGTTTTTTATAATTAGGAGGAATAGAAGTATGGGTAGAGGCAGTGATTATAGGGCAGAATAGAATGATAGTAATTAGATAAAATACTGGTCAACTAAGAAAACCTTTGCAAGTTCTAAAATACTCTACTAAGAAGTAAGATGAATGGTAAATTTCTAGTGTTCAAATTATTAAGAATAGTTCCAAGGAAGAGAGAAATCTAATCCACTGCAAAATTGTAACATTCAACTTTCACATTGGATGATAATAACAGCTAAAATTTATTGTGTTGCATGGTGCAATATATGTCATTGTATTAAATGATCCTTACTATATATGATTAGTACTTCATTTAATACTCAAAATAATCATATGTGAAAGGCATTATTATTATCTCCATTTCACAGATGAGAAAAAAGAAGCTTACAAAGAGATTAAGATTACCAACTACTCCATGGCAGAGGCAATTTGAACTTAGATTGTGTGAGTCTAATACATGGTCTTTTAAGCATTCTGCTGTTTTATTTTCCATTTAATTTCCAAAATAGCTATTTGGAATAATACTTTAGTCAGGGTTCTCCAGAGAAACAGAACCAGCAGGAGGTAGGTAGGTAGGTAGGTAGATAGATAGATACATAGTTACATAGATAGATAGACAGACAATTATAGGAATTGGTTCAAGCAATTATGGAGGCCAAGAAGTTCCACAATCTGCTGTCTGCAACCTGAGAACTAGAAAAGCCAGTGGTATAACTCAGTTCAAATAGTAGGGCCTGAGAACAGTGGGGACCAGGGCATGAGGCCTAATAGTGTAAACCCAGATAGAGAATGAAGGCCTGAGAACCAGGAACAGCAAAGACCAAAGAAAAGATAAAAGTGCCAGCTCAGATTGAACAAATTATTCTTTCCTCCAGCTTCTTGTTCTATTCAGGGCCTCAACAGACTGGATGGTTCCTACCTCCATTGGTGAGAGCGATCTTTACTCAGTCTACCTATTCAAATACTAGTGTTTTCTGTAAACACCATCAGAGACACACCCAGAAACTATATTTTACCAGCTATCTGGGTTTTCCTTAGCTCAATCAAGTTAATACATAAAATTAATCAACACAGGGTAAGTAGTATTTAAATTATATAATTTTATATATAATGAAACAGGGGCATATAAAAGCAAAGCAGCTAGACCAGGCATGCACTGCTAATATGTGACAGGGTGAATCCGTAGGTGTTCTTTCCACTAGGACAGGGCACAGCGGGCCCTGAACATCATGCAAATGTTCTACTCAAACTCCTCCTAAATGAGACTCCTCACCCCTCAACCGAGGAGGAGCTGTGGACAGCTTGTGGCAAACTGGAAAATGCAAATACTGCTTAAAAGACATTCAAATGCAGTTAAAAAAAAAAAAAAGCCAAACATGTACTGTCTTAACAAAGCATTGTTTCCTGGGCTTATTCTGTGTAAGTCTGCTGATTTGTGACTCTGGGAGTGGAGGGTAAGGGACCATTTGTGAGAGAATTCAAGAGACCGATAGAAGCTGACTCACAGAGCATAGCCTGGTTGCTCTAAAGGCAGGCAATTGGAATAAATATTTACTAATTCCCCAGGCTCTGTTATCTGGAACTGTCTCGAATTCTAAAGAACATTTTGGGTCCAATCTCCATTAAAAAGATATAGCCTAGTTTTTCAGATTCTTGAAATTATGTGTGTATATGTGTGTATATAATATATAGATAGATAGATAGATAAAATATATATATACACACATATATTCCATAATAAACTCTCATTACATCAGGTGGCATGCAGACTCATTCTCTGCAACCAAATGAGCCTAACAAAATGATAACACTATAATTTGCCTTGAATTTTCCACGTGTTTTTCCAACTTTTTAGTTCCAAATTGTGCTTTGGCTACACTGTGCTACACTCTGGTGATAAATGAAACATGAAAGTTGCTCATGCAGAAGTAAAAAAATAAAAGTAGAGTCATGGTTGCTTTTCCTTCTAACTAATATGAATAAGATCTTCATTGAAAAAACCCATTTTAAATTACCAAATTGATTCAATTTATTAAACTGCTGTTTTAGAGAATTTCTGAATTACCAACATTTTATAGTGCTTTGTATTCTTTGAATACTGGTAATGATGATGGTACAATACTTTCAAAAAGTAGAATTCTCTATAGTGTGCCCCTTTTTAGAGATACTTTTAAAGATTACACATCAGTGTGTCACTCTAAAGGTAAAGATAAATCCTAGAATTAAAATGGATATAAGAGAAAATTATTAATTTTTTTAGCCTGGCTCTGACTGGGAAATTAAAATACCTGCAGTGGTGATTCTGTTTTTAAAATAATAATTATTATTAATAATTAATAATAATAATAATAATAATAATTTCCAAGTCTGGAAATCTAAGAAGCCAGGTTGGGTTCTGAGAGATTCCAACACCAGAGACTGGCTGTAGGCAAGGGCTCAATGTCATGAATAAACTATAATAAGGTCCAGAAAGAACATGACTTTTGACATAGAATCTTCATCTTTAGCCTCAAGATCACAGTGTTCCCAGGAGATTTTTTGGGTTAGTAGTATAACTATTCAATATTTTTCCTCAATTAATCTCTGAGGTTCTTATCTATTCTTTGGGAGGAATACCTTCTGAGGCTTCTAGTCATTGTCATTATCATAACTACCAAATTTTTCGAAGACTTTGAGAACTTAGATAGTCCATACCACATCAATCTCTTTCCAATTTTCTGTGGCACTGGAGATTGCTATTGAAGATTAGGTTTCCACTTCAGGGCCAGACTAGGGTGAGGCAAGTGAGCTGCCTAGGGCACAAAATACTCGCAGGCTCTGCTCTCAGCTTAATGCAAGTGCTGGCTCAGCATTAGACCTTGTAATTTTAATTTTTTTATTTTACTCTTTGATCTTAATCATTTTATTTATATTTTATAATTTTCAAAATTTTTCTGCTTTTAAAGAGAATGAACTGTTTTTAGAGCAGCTTTACATTCACAGAAAAATTGAGTGAAAACTACAGAATTCCCAAACACCCCCTGTTCCACACAGAGACAATTTCTCCTACTATCAGTATCCCTCAACAGAAGGCTACAATTTTTCCAATGGGTAAATCTACATTGACACATCATTTATCACTTACAGTCCATAGTTTACATCAGTGTTCACTCTTGATGTTTATTCAATGGATTTTGGCATATGTGTAATGACATATCCATCATTATATTACCATACAGAGTAGTTTCACTGACCTAAAAATTTTCTGTACCTACCAATTCATACCTCCTTCTTTCCTAACTCTTGGCAACCACTGATCTTTTTACTATCTCCACAGTTTTGTCTTTCTCACAATATCATACAGCCGGAATCATACACTATGTAGCCTTTTCAAATTGGCTTCTTTCACTGAGTAATGTGTATTTAAGTTTCCTCTGTCTTTTCATAGCATGATAACTAATTTTTGTGCCAAATAATATTGCATTGTCTGAGTGTACCACAGTTTATTTATCCATTCACTTACTGAGAGATGTCTGTGTTGCTTCCAAGTTTTGGCCATTATGGATAAAGCTGCTATGAATATCCATATAGAGGTTTTTATGTGAACCTAAGTTTTCAACTCCTTTGGGTAACTATCAAGGAGCATGATTGCTTGATCAAATGGTTCATATGGTAAGATTATGTTTAGTTTTCTAAGAAACTGCCAAACTGCCTTCCAAAGTAGCTGAACTATTTTACATTCCCACCAGTAATAAATGAGAGTTTTTGTTATTTCCTGTCTTAGTCAGTGTGGGCTGTTATAATAGAATACCATAGACCGGGTGACTTAAACAAAAGTCATTTATTTCTTACAGTTCTGGAAGCTGGAAGTCTGAGATCGATGTGACAGCATGATCAGGTTCTCGTTGCAAACCCTCTTCTTTGTTTACAGACAGCTGTCTTCTTTTTATATCCTTACATGGTAAAGAGAGAAAGAGAAAGCAAGCTCCCTTGTGTTTCTTTTAAGGGCATTAATCCCATCATCAGGGCACCATGCTCATCAGCTAATTATCTCCCAAAGTCCTCATTTCCCAATACAATCAGTTCAGAGATTAGGATTACAACATAAGAATTTGGGAAGGAACACAACATTCAGTCCATAGCAAGCCACGTCTTGCCAGCATTTGGTGTCAGTGTTTAGAATTTTGGCCTTCCTAATAGGTATGTAGTGGTATCTCAATTGTTCTAATTTGCAGTTCCCTAATGATATATGATGTTGGGCATCTTTTCACATGCTGCTTCCCCATTTTTATGTCTTCTTTGATGAGGTGTTTTAGTTTTAGTTCAGGTTGAGCAGTGATTTAATGCAGGTCTTTTGCTCATTTTTAATTGGATTTTTTTATTATTGAGTTTGAGGGGTTCTGTGTATATTTTGATCACCCTCTCTTATCAAATATGCCTTTTACAAATATTTTCTCCCAGTCTGTGGCTTCTTTTCTCATTTGGTTAATGGTATCTTCACAGAGAAGTTTGTAATTTTAACAAAATCTATCATATTAATAATTTCTTCCATGAATTGTGTCTTTGGTACTGTATCTAAAAAGTCATTGCCATACCCAAGGTTATCTAGATTTTCTATTTTAATATCTTCTAGGAAACATACAGTTTTTCATTTGATTTGCTTTTTTAAAAGATCATCTAGGCTCTATGTAAAGTACAGATATTTAAAAAGCAAAAATGGAAGAAAGGTGACCAGCAAGAGGCTATTGCATTAGTGTGCAACAGGAATGACAACTTTCACAAGAAAAGTGAAAGCAGAAATAGAGAAAAGTAGATGAACTCAAACTCTCAGTCTGTCTTGGAGGTGTAATATTGACAGATACTTTACTGGGGAGGTGAGGAGGGAATGTAAAATCCAGAATAACTCCTAGCTGGTTCCCATCTGGCAGGCTGTTTCAGAGTCAATGGCCACTTAATTCTTAGGAAACTTTGAATTGTGTCAGTCAATCAGCACCTTAATAGGAGCATTGCTGCTCCTTCTAGGAACAAAAAGGGGCTTAAATATGAAGACCTGAAAGGAGGCCAATTTATTTTGAAAGCTTCAAGAATATAAATGATTACCTGCAAGACCAGTTAACTGTGTACACCACACAGAGGATATTTCTAGTACCCAATATAACTCGTAAGTTTTAGGAGCAATGTAATATATTTCACCAGGAATAAAGTTGGTTTTCTCAAACTCATGTGTTGCCACAAGTCAAATGCTTATCTATAAAATATGGTAGTTGTACTCTCTTTTTGGATGTATGGGAACAGATGTATTTTACCTTGGATACTTTGCCTTGGGTGTGTTAAAGTTTTTCCTGTAGAGTTTTGTAAAATTGGGAACCTAATTGACATAGTTTTATTTCAATACAGATCGTTGTACCTTCACATAGAAGTACTTACATTATAGATTATTATTGAAAACATCTAAACCTGAGTATTAAAATTAAAACAGTAAAACTGATAATAACTATTAATATGCAAAAACAAACATTTCTTAGTCTCCTTGATTTTAATAGAGAATTCACCAAAATGTGAATATTCTGGTTTTTTGTTTTTCCTTTTACCCAATAGTAATTTTTTTGGTGAATTTTTTTTCCTTTGGTTTGGTTTTAGTTCGGGTATGTGTGGTAGACAGAATGATGGCCCCCAAAGATATCCATGATGTCCATGTTCTAATCCCCAGAGCCTGTAAAGATGTGACCTAGCATGACAAAAGGAACTTTGCAGATGTAACTAAATTGAGGATCTAGAGATGGAGAGAGTACGCTCTATTATTTGGGTGGGACCAATGTAATTACGAAGGTTCTTATAAAAGGGAGAAGATAATGTGACAACCAAAGCAGAATCAGTGATTTGAAGATGCTACACTTCTGGCTTTGATAGAGGAGAAAAGAGCCATAAATCAAGGAATGCAAGCAGCCTCTAGAAGTTGGAAAAAGTGAGAAAACAGATTATCTCCTGGAGCCTCCAGAAAGAATGCAGCACTGTGATTACCTTGATTTTAGACCACTAAGACCCATTATCACCTTCTGACCTCAAACCTGTAAGATACTAAAATTGTGTTGTTTTAAGCCCCCAGATTTGTGATGATTTGTTATAGTTGCAATAGGAAACTAATGCAACATGCTATTCTAAAAATAGGACTTTCCTTGACAGCTTATGAAAATAGAATATTGATATTGTTAGTCTCATTTCGAGCTAGATGGATTATCAATCCTCAATTTTTTAATGTCTCACAAAAGCATGTTGGTTCTCCATTTAATGAAGAAAGGAAAAGAATAATGCTTATAATTTTTATGTGAAATTTCAACTGGGTATACAATGATACTATTTACACAATAAGAAAGATGAACATTAGAGTTACTGTGGCTCAGTAAATCAAGACTTCCTTTCTTTGCAATATTAAGCTTGAGATATGTATTACATCAGTACTACAAAACTGACCCATAAAAGCAAGGAAAGGCCAAGACGGAGGGTTTCCATGCTTAAATGCCTCATAACAAAAACTGTCACAAAGGATTCAGCACAAAACCCACAGTCTTGCACAAAGGTCAACACAAGCTTATACAAACAATCCTTCTCTGAGGACATCTGCCCAGCAACTGCCTGTCCAAAACTAGGCTGGTGTCACTAAAGACAATTATCTCAAAACAATTGTATAATTCTCTTTAAAAACCTTTGTCTTCTTTTACCTTCCTGACTACACACAAAGTATACAATGGCATAAGTATTCCCATTCCAATTCCCGATTTCTGAATAAATATCATTTCTTTCAGACATCCTCTCTATGTTTGTTATTTAGGTTAACAAAATGGTGTCAGAAGTGGGATCTTATGTAAGGTCACTTTCAGAAGGAATTGACAATTCTTGGAAACAGTGTACAGTACTCACTGGAGCCCTTTGAACTCTGTTTCCACAGCTTGCCTTTCTGCCCTGGGGAATCTTCTGTCAGGCTGAGCCTTCCATTTTTTAGTTGACGCTCTTCCTTTATCCAGAATCTAATTTGGATAAGGCTGCCTTAATAAAGAATCTGACATCCCTCCTGGGGTGATAAAGGACTTCTTGCCTTTTCTGGCAAGTCCATTCTTGTATAAAGTCAAGTGTCCTCATTTGAGAACCCTGGTTTCAACAGAAATTATGTTATGTCTTTGAGGCATGTCTTTTCTGTCAAATTCACTTTTAATTCTGTGTGTCTAATTTAATATTTTGTTTGATCTGCATGCCTAGCTTAAAAATTTTTGTGAAAAGTCTTATCTTGGTGTCATCTTGGTATACATGTCTGTAAAGGAGTCAGCTCTTTTCTCTTGCTTATTTCTAAAAATCTCTCAAGAGCAAAAATAAACTTTCTGAACAGTGGATACAGGATGAGTAATTAAAAGCCGCTAGGGCAGTCACCACAATCAGCAACAGCAGTCAAAACTCCTGATATGCTCTGATAAGATTTATAGCATTTTCTTTGCTCTCAGGAGGTTAAGAAGAAATGGAATGAGATTCTCAAACATTAAGACATACCAGGTTATTTGAGACCTCAGCTGGCTACATATTATGAATATTCTCATTCATATTTTTTAATTAATTTATTTATTTTTTCCATAGTTATTGTGGTACAGGTGGCATTTGGTTACATGAGTAAGTTCTTTAGTGATTTGTGAGATTTTGGTACACCCATCACCTGAGCAGTACACACTGTACCATATTAGTAGTCTTTTATCCCTCGCCCCTCCCACTCTTCCCCCCAAGTCCCCAAAGTCCACTGTATCATTCTTATTCATTTGCATCCTCATAGCTTAGCTCCCACATATCAGTGAGAACATACGATGTTTGGTTTTCAATTCCTGAGTTACTTCATTTAGAATAATAGTCTCCAAACTCATCCAGGTCACTGCAAATGCTGTTAATTCATTCCATCATATATATATATATATTCTCATATATATATATATATATTCTCATATATATATATATATTCTCATATATATATATATTCTCATATATATATATATTCTCATATATATATATATACTCATATATATATATATTCTCATATATATATATATTCTCATATATATATATATTCTCATATATATATATATGATGTGATATATATATATAAATATATATATATCACAGTTTAATTATCCACTTATTGATTGATGGGCATTTGGGTTGGTTCCATGATTTTGCTATTGTGAATTGGGCCACTATGAACATGCGTGTGCAAGTATCTTTTTCAAATAATGACTTCTTTTTTTCTGGGTAGATACCCAGTAGTGGAATTACTGATCAAATGGTAGTTCTACTTTTAGCTCTTTAAGGAAATATTGCTTTCCGTATTTCCATATTTCCACATTGTTTTCCATAGTGTCTGTACTAATTTACATTCCCAACAGCAGTGTAGAAGTGTTCCCTGTTCACTGCATCCACACCAGCATCTACAGTACAGTATTTTTATTTTTTGATTCTGGCCATTCTTGCAGGAATAAGGTGGTATCATATTGTGGTTTTGATTTGCATTTCCCTGATCATTAGTGATGTTGAGCATATTTTTCATATGTTTGTTGGTTATTTGTACATCTTCTTTTGAGAATTGCCTTTTCATGTCCTTAGCCCACTTTTTGATGGGACTGTTTATTTTTTTCTTACTGATTTGTTTGAGTTCTCTGTAGATTCTGGATATTAGTCCATTGTCAGGTACATAGATTGTGAAGATTTTCTCCCTCTCTGTGGGTTGTCTGCTTAGTCTGCTGACTGTTCCTTTTGCCATGCAAAAGCTCTTTAGTTTAATTAAGTACCAGCTATTTTTGTTTTTATTGCATTTGCTTTTAGGTTCTTGGTCATGAAATCCTTGCCTAAGCCAATGTGTAGAAGGGTTTTTACAATGTTATCTTCTAGAATTTTTATAGTTTCAGGTCTTAGGTTTAAGTCCTTAATCCATCTTGAATTGATTTTTGTGTAAGGTGATAGATGAGGATCCAGTTTCATTCTCCTACATGTACCTAGCCAATTATCCCAGCACCATTTGTTGAAAAGGGTGTCCTTTCCCCACTTTATGTTTTTGTTTGCTTTGTCAAAGGTCAGTTGGCTATTTGATTTTATTATTTGATTTTATTTCTGGGTTTTCTATTCTGTTTCATTGGTCTATACCAGTACCATGTTGTTTTGGTGACTATGGCCTTATAGTATAGTTTGAAATCAAGTAGTGTGATGCCTCCAGATATGTTCTTTTGGCCTACTCTTGCTTTGGCTATGTGGGCTCTTTTTTGGTTCCATATGAATTTTAGAATTGTTTTTTCTAATTCTGTGAAGAATGATGGAAGTATTTTGTTGGAGATTGTGTTGAATTTGTAGATTGCTTTTGGCATTATGGTCATTTTCACCCTATTGCTTCTAACTCATCCATGAGCATGAGATGTGTTTCCATTTCTTTGTGTCATCTATGAATTCTTTCAGCAGTGTTTTGTAGTTTTCCTTGTAGAGGTCTTTCGACTCCTTTGTTAGGTATGTTCCTAAGTATTTTATTTATTTATTTATTTATTTATTTATTTATTTATTTATTTATTTTGCAGCTATTGTAAAAGGGATTGAGTTCTTGATTTGATTCTCCACTTGGTAACTGTTGGTGTATAGAAGAGCTACTGATTTATGTACATTAATCTTGTATATGGAAACTTTGCTGAATTCTTTTATCAGTTCTAGGAGCTTTCTAGAGAGGTACTTAGGGTTTTCAAGGTAAACAATCATATCGTCAGCAAGCAGTGACAGTTTGACTTCCTCCTTACTGATTTGGATGCCTTTTACTTATTTCTCTTGTCTGGTTGCTCTGGCTAGGACTTCTCGTACTATGGTGAAGAGGAGTGGTGATAGTGGGCATCCTTGTCTTGTTCCGGTTCTCAGAAAGAAGGCTTTCAACTTTTCCCCATTCAGTATTATCTTGGCTGTGAGTTTGTCATAGATGGCTTTTATGACATTAAGGTATGTCCCTTGAATGCCGATTTTGCTGGGAGTTTTAATCGTAAAGGGATGCTGGATTTTGTTGAATGGTTTTTCTGCATCTATTGAGATGATCATGTCATTTTTGTTTTTAATTCTGTTTATGTGGTGTGTCACATTTATTGACTTGCTTATGTTAAACCATTCCTGGATCCCTGCATCCGTGGTATGAAACCCACTTGATCATGGTGGATTATCTTTTTGACATGTTGTTGGATTTGGTTAGGTAGTATTTTGTTAAGGACTTTAGCATCAATGTTCATCAAGGATATCAGTCTGTAGTTTTATTTTTTTGTTATGTTCTTTCCTCGTTTTGATATTAGGGTGATGCTGGCTTCATAAAATGAATTGGGGAGGGTTGCTTCTTTCTTTATCATGTGGAAGAGTGTCAAAAAGACTGGTACCAATTCTTCTTTGAATGTCTGGTAGAATTCTGCTATGAATCCATCTGTGGTCTTAAACTTTCTTATGTTCGTAATTTTTTAACTACCATTTCAATCTCGCTGCTTGTTATTGGTCTGTTCAGGATATCTAATCTTCCTGACATAAGCTAGGAGGGTTGCAGTTTTCTGGGAATTTATGCATCTCTTCTAGGTTTTCTAGTATATGTGCATAAAGGTGTTCATAGTAACTGTGAATGATCTTTTGTATTTCAGTGGTGTCAGTTGTAATATTTCCTGTTTTGTTTCTTAGTGAGATTATTTGGATTTTCTCTCTTCTTTTCTTGGTTAATCTTCCTAACGGTCTATCAATTTTATTTATCTTTTCAAATAACCAGCTTTTTGTTTCATTTCTCTTTTGTATTACTTTCTGTTTATTTGTTTCTACTTCATTTAGTTCTGCTCTGATCTTGGTAATTTCCTTTCTTCCGTTGGGTTTGCGTTTGGTTTGTTCTTGTTTATCTAGTTCCTTGAGATGTGACCTTAGGATGTCAGTTTGTGCACTTTCAGACTTTTTGATACAGGTGCGCAGGGCTATGAACTTTCCTCTTTGCACCACCTTTGTTGTATCCCAGAGGTCTTCATAGGTTGTGTCATTATTGTCATTCTGTTGGAATGATTACTAAATTTCCATCCTGATTTTGTTTTTGACCCATTGCTCATTCAGGAACAGGTTATTTAATTTCCATGTTTTTGCATGCTTTTGAAGGTTTCTTTTGGAGTTGATTTCCAGTTTTATTCCACTATGGTCTGAGAGAGTGCTTGTTATAATTTCAATTTTCTTAAATTTATTGAGGCTCGTTTTATGGCCTATCATATGGTCTATCTTGGAGAAAGTTCCATGCGCTGTTGAATAGAATGTGTGTTCTGTGGTTATTGGATGAAATGCTCTGTATATATCTGTTAAGGCTATTTGTTCCAAGGTATAGTTTAAATCCATTGTTTCTTTGTTGACTTTCTATCTTGATGGCCTGTCTTGTGCTGTCAGTGGAGTATTGAAGTCCCCCGCTATTATTGTGTTGCTGTCTATGTCATTTCTTAGGTCTATTAGCAATTGTTTTATAAATTTGGGAGCTCCAGTGTTAGGTGCACATATGTTTAGGATTGTGATATTTTCCTGTTGGACAATGCCTTTTACTGTTATATAATGTGCCTCTTTGTCTCTTTT
The DNA here is from genome assembly GCF_000001405.40 of Homo sapiens. Taxonomy (NCBI): domain Eukaryota; kingdom Metazoa; phylum Chordata; class Mammalia; order Primates; family Hominidae; genus Homo; species Homo sapiens. The sequence continues at coordinate 106,319,577 of NC_000003.12, read as the reverse complement.
AACTGCTGTTGCTTTAAAATTTGTTTTGTCTGATATAAGAACAGCTACCCCTGCTTGCTTTTGGTGTCTATTTGCATGAAATGCCCTTTTCCATCCCTTTATCTTAAGTTTATGTGAGTCCTTATGTGTTAGGTGAGTGTCCTGAGAGCAGCAGATGGTCGGTGAGTTCTTATCCATTCTGCAGTTCTATATCTTTTAAATGGAGCATTTTAACCATTTATATTCAATAGTATTGAAGTGTGAGGTATTGTTGCATTCATCATACTTTTTGTTGTCTGCGTCTTTTTTGTTTGTTTATTTTTTGTTTTTGCTTTTGAACATGTATTTTAATTTTATAGGTCCTATGTGATTTATACTTTAAAGAGGTTTTGTTTTGATGTGTTTCCAGGATTTGTTTAAAGATTTAGAGCTCCTTTTAGCAGTTCTTGTAGTGGTGCTTGGTAATGGCAAATTCTCACCATTTGTTTGTCTAAAAATGACTGTATCTTTCCTTCATATATGATGCTAAGTTTCACTGGATACAAAATTCCTGGCTGATAATTGTTTTGTTTATGGAGGCTAAAGATGGGGATCCAATCCCCTTTAGCCTGTAGGGTTTCAGCTGAGAAATCTGCTATTAATCTGATAGGTTTTATTTTATAGGTTACCTGGTTCTTCGGTCTCACAGCTCTTAAGATTATTTCCTTCATCTTAACTTTGGATAACCTGATGACAATGTGCCTAGACGACGATCTTTTTGTGATGAATTTCCCAGGTGTTCTTTGTGCTTCTTGTATTTTGACGTCTGGGTCTCTAGCAAGGCTGTAGAAATTTTCCTCAATTGTTCCCCTGAATATGTTTTCCAAGCTTTTAGAATTCTCTCCTTCCTAGGAGCACCAATTTTTTTTTTTTTTTTTTTTTTGAGACAGAGTCTTGCTTTGTCACCCAGGCTGGTGTGCAGTGGCTCAATCTCGGCTCACTGCAAGCTCTGCCTTTCAGGTTCACGCCATTCTCCTGTCTCAGCCTCCCGAGTAGCTGGGACTACAGGCACCCACCACCATGCCCAGCTAATTTTTTTTGTATTTTTTTAGTAGAGACAGGGTTTCACCGTGTTAGCCAGGATGGTCTCGATCTCCTGACCTCCTGATCCACCCACCTTGGCCTCCCAAAGTGCTGCAATTATTCTTAAGTTTGATCATTTAACACAATCCCAGACTTCTTGGGGACTTTGTTCATATTTTCTTATTCTTTTTCTTTGTCTTTGTTGGATTGGGTTAATTCAAAAACGTTGTCTTCAAGCTCTGAATTTCTTTCTTCTACTTGTTCAATTCTATCACTGAGACTTTGCAGAGCATTTCACATTTCTAAAAGTGTGTCCAAAGTTTCCTGAATTTTTGACTGTTTTTTCTTTAAGCTATCTATTTCCTTGAATATTTCTCCCTTCACTTCTTGGATCATTTTTTGGATTTCCTTGCATTGGGCTTTGCCTTTCTCTGGTCCCTCCCTGTTTAGCTTAATAACTAACCTCCTGAATTCTTTTTCAGGTAAATCAGGGATTTCTTCTTGGTTTGGATCCATTGCTGGTAAACTAGTTTGGGGTGAAGTTGAAGAGCCTTGTTTTGTCATATTACCAGGGTTGGTTTTCTGGTCCCTTCTCATTTGGGTAGGCTCTGTCAGACAGAAGGTCTACAGCTGAAGGCTGTTGTTCAGATTCTCTTGTCTCATGGGGTGTTTGCTTGATGTAGTACCCCTCCCCTTTTCCTATGGATGTGGTTTCCTGTAAGTCAAACTGCAGTGATTGTTGTCTCTCTTCTGGGTCTAGCCACCCAGTGAGTCTACCTGGCTCCAGGCTGGAACTGGGGGTTGTCTGCACAGAGTCCTGTGATGTGAACTGCGTATGGGTCTCTCAGCCAGGGATACCAGTGCCTGTTCCAGTGAAGGTGGCAGGGGGGTGCAATGGACTTTGTGAAGGTTCTCAGCTTTGGTGTTTTAATGCTCTATTTTTGTGCTGGTTGACCTCCTCCTAGGAGGCAATTTCCAGAAAGCATCAGCTACAGTAGTATAGAGAGGCACTAGCAGCAGGCATGGCCCTAGAACTCCCAAGATTATATGTCCTTTGTCTTCCACTACCAGGGTGGATAGGGAAGGACCACCAAGTGGAGGTGGGACTAGACGTGTTTGAGCTCAGACTCTCCTTGGGCAGGTCTTGCTACAGCTGCTGCGGGGAATGGGGGTGAAATTCTCAGTCACTGGAGCTGTGTACCTAATAGGATTATGGCTGTGTCTGCTGATTCATGCAGGTTGTCTTGGAAGTGGGGGAAAGGTAGCTGTCACAGACCTCACTCAGCTGTCACCCAAAACGAAGGGCTGTTCTCACTCCAACCGTGCTCTCCCCAACAGCTCTGAATCTGTTTCCAGATGGAGGGCGTGATGAGACTGAAAATTTGCCCTGGGTTACCCACCTCCCAGCTTAGAGAGAAAAGGGCTTGGTCCTTCCGCTGCCTGTGGATTCTGCACACCAGATTTTACGCCTTCCCCTGAGTTCTGGCTAGGAGGCTTCTTGCCCTGTTCAAATTGTTACAAAATTCAGCTAGACATTTCCTTCTCCTTGTGGAGTTATACCCTCTGACTCTCTGATCACCCACCTGATGGATTCCTGTGGTGCCAGGCAGGAATGGCCTGCTAGGGGCTGCAGTGAGCTCCCAGAGCCTTTCTGCTGCTTCCTCTACCCCTGTATTTCACTTGGCTCACTAAATTGGCTCAACTCCAGGTAAGGTCAGAAACTTCCCCCACAAACAGACCTTCAGCTTCTCCAGTGGAGGTGTGTGTGCAGGAGAGGGGAGTCTCCCTTTTCTACTTCTGCAGTTGGGGCACTCACAGTATTTAGGGTGTCTCCCAGTCCTGCAGGAGCAGTTTGCTTCCTTCAGAGGGTCTGTAGGTCCTCCTGGAATTGCTGGTTTGTTCTTGCAGTCAATCTGGAGCTAAAAATCACAATGCGAGCTTCCGCAAGCTGCTCTGTCGGGTGCTGCAATCTAGTCATGGCTCCTGTTGGCCATCTGATTCTCTTCCTCATGCACATGAGAAAGAGATTTTAACTGATAAGAAAATTATGTCAAGGAAAATTGAGAGCTCAAATTGTCATTATTTGAACTCTCTTAAAAAAAGCCCTGCAACTATAGAGTTAACATGTAAAGCTTTCTAAGTTTTCTGTTTAGCTATCTCTGTTTTTATACCTATTTTGAACCAGCTGACTCTTCTGCAGGTGTTGAGAAAACTCACTGCTTATGGCGTTCCAGCCAAGATTTTCTTTTAAATTCTTAAAGGGCTTTGAAATTAATTGCTTTGCAGTTTACAACAGCTCCATGGCAACCAACAACCTAAATACTTTTTGGAAATGTAAATTTAGGTTTGCCTGACTAATAAATGCTTAGGGTGATGGAACAGTTAATTAAAGGTTTAATAGTCTATAAGAAAAAGACCTAGGTAAAGTTTTATAAAAGCTAGGTTCTCAGATCAAAATCTTGAACTCAATGCTGTAATATAAGATATCTCTGATGGGCATAAAAATTGCTTTGTCTTCTATGCAAGGGCCAGAAAAAGCAAGAAACAAAACAAAACAGCAAAAACACAAACGGCTAATTTTTTTTCATCCACATTGACTAGTCAAATAAACCAGAGCAGCAAACAAAAGGTAGGTTCATTACTAATTCAAGGCCATTTGAAGAATTCATTTTTATTATACAATTCATTCACTTCTAGCTAAAATGGAAACATTAAAAATTTAACCATAAACTCATTTGAAACTAGAAAAAGGAAAAAATATGCTAAAAAAAATTAAACCAAACTACTTTATCCAAAATGTTGGTCAACAGTCTTCATTAGATCACCTATGAGGCAAGTAAGATTTAGCCCTGTTAACAGGTCCCATTTTGTCAGAAGTACAATTTGAATCCAGCTGTCTTTTGTAAACCAGTGAGTCTGCATTACTCTCTCAAGACTAAACATATATTAACTTATATGTTGTGTCTACATGATAAAATCTGACATAGTCAGCCAGAGGTCTCTTAAGGAATTTTATTCAGACTGGCTTAAATGAACAGGAATATAAAATATATGGTAATTAACCTAAATGCCTTTTAGTTTAAGTGATCTAAGTAATAATAAAGATCTGAATCACCAATAAATAAAATTGAAATTAAAAAAATACAAAAGATCAACAAAACAAAAAGTTGATTTTTCAATTAGTTAAACAAAATTGACAAACCTTTAGCCAGACTAACTAGGAAAAAAAGGGAGAAGACCCAAATAAAATCAGAGATAAAGAAGGAGACATTACAACTAAACCACAGAAGTTCAAAGATCATTAGAGAATACAGTGAGTAACTATATGCCAATAAACTGGAAAAATAGAAGAAATGGATAAATTCCCAGACACATACAGCCTACCAAGTTGGATCCATGAAGAAATTCAAAACCAGAATAGACAAATAACAAATAATATGATCAAAGCCATAATAAAAATATACCAGCAAAGAAAAATACAGAACCCAATGACTTCGCTGCTGAATTTCACTAATTTATAAAGAAAACTAGTACAATCCTACTCAAACTGTTCCAAAAAATAAAGGAAGAAGAAATACTTCCAAACCCATTCTACAAGGTCAGTATAATTACCCTGAGACATTAGCTGGGGTGGCTAATAGAATGCTTGCAACACCCCTCCCACAAACACAGGTAGCACAGCTAGCAGTTCCAAAAGAGACCCCTTCCTTTCCTATGAGGAGAGGAGAGGGAAGAGTAAAGAGGACTTTGTCTTGCATCTTGGATACCAGTTCAGTCACAATAGGATAGGGCACTGAGCAGAGAGATGAGCCCCCCATTCCATGACCTAGGTCTGAATGACATTTCTAGACACACTTTGGGTCAGAAAGAAACCTGCTGCCTTTAAGGGAAAGACCCAGTCATGGCAGGATTCATTACCTGCTGACAAAAGTGCCTTTGAGCCTTGAAGAAAGAGCAAGAATAGCCAGGTGTATGGCATGGGACTTGGGTGAGACTCTGAGATGTACTGGCTTCAAGTGAGACCCAGCACATTCCCAGCTATGGGAGCTAGAATGATAAAGTCCTCATTCAGCTAGAGAGGAAAAAGCAAAGACTTTGTCTTGCACTTTAGATACTAGCTCAGATGCAGGAGGTCAGGGAGCAGGAGAAGGGTGAAGGTAAAGCACCAGGCAAAATCTTGGGTTTATGGATTCCTTGGTTCTTGGACAGCATTTCTTGACCTGCCCTGGGCCAGAGGAGAGTCTGCTATCCTGCCCACTTTCATTGCTGTTATTCAATATAGTACTGTAAGTTCTAGCTGGAGCAATCAGGCAATAGAAGAAAATAAAGGGCATTCAAATTGGAAAGAAAGAAGTCAAAATATCCTTGTTTGGACATAATATAATCTTATATTTGGAAAAGCTTAAAGATTCCACCAAAAACTATTAGAACTGATACAAAAAATCAAGAATGTTGCAGGATATAAAATCAACAAACAAAATTCAGTAGCATTTTTATATGCCAATAATGAACAATATGAAGAAGAAATCAAGAAAAATGCCATTGACATTAACCACAAATAAAATACCTAGGAATAAACTTAACCAAAGAAGTGAAAGAGCAATGAAAATGATAAAATATTGATGCAATAAATTGAAGAGGATACAAAAAAATTGAAATATATTCCACGTTCATCGATAAGAAGAATCAGTATTGTTAAAGTATCCATACTACCCAAAGCAATCTACATATTCAATGCAATCCCTATCAAAGTACCCATAACATCCTTCATAAAAATTTTAAAAAATTCAACAATTTATGTGGAACCGCAGAAGGCCAAGAATAGCCAAAGTAATCCTAAGCAAAAAGAACGAAACTGGAGGAATCACATTACCTGACTTCAAAGTATACTACAGAGCTATAGTAACCAAAGAAAATGGTACTGGCATAAAAACAGAAACATAGAACAACGGATCAAAATAGAGAACCCAGAAATAAAATTATACATCTACAGTGAACTCATTTTTGACATAGGTGCCAAGAACATACATCAGGGAGAGAACAGTCTCTTCAATAAATAGTGTTGGAAAAACTGGATATTCATATGCAGAAGAAAGAAAGAACTCTATCTCTCACCGTATGCAAAAATCAAATCAAAATGGCTTAAAGACTTAAATTTAAGGTCTTAAATTACAAAACTACTAAAATAAAACATTGGGGAAGCTCTGCAGAATGTTGGACTGGGCAAAGATTTTTTCAGTAATACCTTCGAAGCACAGGCAACCAAAGTAAAAATAAACTAATGGAAACACATTAAGTTAAAAAGCTTGTGCACAGCAAAGAAAATATTCAATAAACTGAAGAGACAACCTACGTAATGGGAGAGAATATTTCCAAACTATCCATCTGACAAGGGATTAATAACCAGAATATAAAAGGAACTCAAAAAACTCTATAGGGAAACTATTATGATCCAATTAAAAAAATGAATAGACATTTCTCAAAAGAAGACATACAGGTGGTAAATAGGCATATTAAAAATGCTCAACATCATTGATCATCAGAGAAATGCAAATCAAAACTACAATGAGCTATCATCTTACCACAGTTAAAATGGCTTTTATCCAAAAGACAGGTAATTACAAATGTTGGTGAGAATGTGGACAAAGGGGAACTCTCGTTCACTGCTGGTGGGAATGTAAATTAATACAGACACTATAGAGAATAGCATGGAGATTTTTCAGAAACCTAAAAATAGAACTACCACATGATTCAAGAATCCCACTGCTAGATGTATACCCAAAAGAAAAGAAATCAGTGTAGCAAAGAGATATCTGTGTTCCCATGTTTATTGCAGCATGATTCAAACTTGCCCAGATTTAGAAGCAACCTAAGTGTCTATCAACAAACAAATGGATTAAAAAAATGTGGTGGCCGGGCGCGGTGGCTCACGCCTGTAATCCCAGCACTTTGGGAGGCCAAGGCGGGTGGATCACAAGGTCGGGAGATCGAGACCATCCTGGCTAACACAGTGAAACCCCACCTCTACTAAAAATACAAAAAATTAGCCAGGTGTGGTGGCGGGCGCCTGTGGTCCCAGCTGCTCCGGAGGCTGAGGCAGGAGAATAGCGGGAACCCGGGAGGCGGAGCTTGCAGTGAGCCGAGATCCCGCCACTGCACTACAGCCTGGGCGAGAGTGTGAGACTCTATCTCAAAAAAAAAAAAAAAAAAGTGGTACATATACACAATAGAATACTGTCTGATCATAAAAAGGAATAAGATACTGTCATTTTCAATAACATGGATGGAACTGGAGGACATTATGTTTAGCGAAATAAGCCACACAGAAAGAAAAACTTCACATATTCTCACCTGTTTTGGGGAGCTAAATATTAAAATAATTGAACTCATGGAGATAGATGGTAGAATGATGGTTATCAAAGGCTAGGAAGGGTAGATGGGGGTGAAAGTGCAGCTGTTTAATGAGTATAAAAATATAATTAGAATGAATAAGCTCTAGTATTTGATAGCATAACAGATTGATTACAGTCAGAAATAATTTATTGTACATTTAAAAATAACTACAGAGTATAATTCAATTTCAATTGTTTGTAACACAAGGAAATGGTAAGTGCTTGAGGTGATGGACACCATGTTTTTCCTGATGCGATTATTATCATTGTTTGCCTGTATCAAAAGATCTCATGTAGCCCATAAATGTATATACCTACCATGCAGCCATAACAATTTAAAATAAAAAATATAATTAATTAATTAGTTAAGTCTTTATGACCTATAAATAACTTCAGGTTTTTTTCATTTAGACCCATTAGGAACCTCAAAAGTTGTATGTCTTACTTTGTAGATATATTAAATAATTAGGTTTATTTGGTAAATTGTATAGAAATCATTGTCAAATGATAAGTGATGTTAGATCTTTCAATTACATTTATGCATATGTTATTAATGTGAATGTTCCAAAATTATTTAGAAGTCTTAGAAATCTGTCATCACTCGTAGTTCTGGATATTATGTTGTATACCACAAAAATAACTAAATTCCCTTGTAAATTTCTTATTATAATGAACCTCCATCAGATTTTTAACTATGACTTAGTTCTAAGTCTCTGTCATCCACAGTTACTGTTTAGAATTCTTCTATGAAAGTATCTGCAATCGGATTCATGGAAAGGCTGTAACTAAAATACTCTTAAGAACAGGTTTCTAATTACTTTAAATGGGCTAAATCAAAAATTTCCAAAATTTTAATCAACAAACGGATGGGTTCATGAAAATCCTAATCAAGATCAAGCAAAAATAAAATTATTTACCTTAGGCCGGGCGCGGTCGCTCATGCCTGTAATCCCAGCACTTTGGGAGGCCAAGGCAGGTGGATCACAAGGTCAGCAGTTCGAGACCAGCCTGGCCAACATGGTGCAACCGCGCCTCTACTAAAAATACAAAAATTAGCCAGGTGTGGTGGCTGGCACCTGTAATCCCAGCTACTCGGGAGGCTGAGGCAGGAGAATTGTTTGAACCCGGGAGGCAGAATTTGCAGTGAGCTGAGACCATGCCATTGCACTCCAGCCTGGGTGACAGAGCAAGACTCTGTCTCAAAAAGAAAAAAAAAATTATTTACATTACATTAAATAACTGATGACCCAGTGCTTTGGGAGGTTAAGTAGGAGGATAACTTGAGGCCAGGAGTTTTATACCAACATGGGCAACATAGCAAGACCCCATCTCTACAAAAAACAAAAAAATTTAGTGAGGTGTGGTGTATACCTCTGGTCCTACCTGCTCAAGAGGCTGAGGTGGGAGGAACCCTGGAGCCCAGGAGTTCAAAGCTGCTGCAGTAAGCTATGACTGTGCTACTGCACTCCAGACTAGGCAACAAAGTGAGACCCTGTCTCAAAAATAGCTGATGATAATGTTTTTATGTCTTTTATTTGAAAGAGTGTTGGTTCCTTTCTTAATTTTTTTTTGTTTTCCAGGTTTAAGGAAACTTTTTCTCTTAAGCTATCTATAGTTTACAGCAATTTAATAAAGTATGTTTTTGTGAACAAAGTTGAGGACAGTTGCACTTTCTATCTACTTCTTTCAAAATTCACAAATAATTCATGAATATTATTGTGGCATTATGGTTATTTACATAAGTTCAAATAAAAAAATGCTCTCTCTTTACAACAAGACACAATTTAAACCATTAGTTATATTACCAAGGCTCTTACTGAAATATCATATTTGAGAATATGCATAGAATACTTGGTTTTAACAATTCCCAGATTTACAGTGAATGAGTAAAAATTGTCACTTCCTGGCAGGCCCAGGAACCTTAAGAATGTAGGTAAAATCTAAAGTCGGCCTTGATCCGGCTTCATAGCCTTAAGAGGTGATATGGTTTGGCTCTGTGTCCCCACTCAGATCTCATCTCAAATTGTAATCCCCATGTGTAGAGGGAGGGACCTGGTGGAAGGTGACTGGATCGTGGGGGTGCTTTCCCCATGCTGTTCTCATAATAGTGAGTTCTCATGAGATCTGATGGTTTGAAAGTTTCACAGTTCCCACCTTCTCGCTCTCTCTCCTGCCTCCTGCCACCATGTGAAATGTGCCTTGCTTCCCCTTTGCCTTCTGCCATGATTGTAATTTTCCTGAGGCCTCCCCAGCCATGCAGAACTGTGAGTCAATTTAACCTCCTTTCTTTATAAAATCATCCAGTCTCAAGTATTCTTTATAGCAGTGTAAAAATGGACTGATGCAATAGTATTTTTTAATGAGATAGCTATGTAGACAAATCACTATTCTTGCAAACAAAATTTGATAAAACTAATTTTACAAACAAATCTATCTTAATCTAATTTTCTTCTCTATATTTTTCATTTAGATCATATACCTAAAAGTATGCCAAAAAAAAAAAAAAAAAGAAAACTAAATTTATCTACTCAGAGAAAAAAATACCTTGGGACATTTTCTTGAGGAAAACAAGTTAGAGTGAAGGTGGTGAGAAAATGGGATAATAGAATCAGTGAGCTTCAGCTGCTGCCCAGGAATCCTGTGTCATGCAAAGTGGTGGATAAATAGATGAATACTGGTAAGATACTGAGATGCTGATCTCCCCTACTTTCTCCTTTCTCTTTTGCATCCAGACTTCCCCTTGCTTATAATTGAAGGTGACAATGAGATTCAGGTACAAGTAGTAAAACTGCAGCCAGTTGAGGAGGAAGTTGAGAGGAGGAGATATTTTCCGGCATTTTGACAGATTACCTTAACAAAAGGGTTATATTAACCAAATGTCATTGGCCAAAAAGCAGGTAGACTATTCAACATATGTATCATATTTGCAAAATAAGGAAGAGATAGTAAAAGCTGTGTATTCTTAAACACTAGTTTCTTATGATTTCTTTAAAATGAGTAAATCAAATTTTTTGTTGTTAATACATTTGGATTGTACACTCATCAAGTAAATTTCTCATATTCCCAAATCACTGACAAGTTATTAGAAGATATAGACAAGGATAGCAACAGGTCTCCAAACCAAATATGTAAAATTCAACAATATGTTTGACAGTTCAGCCATTTGGAATAAAACAAATTATGCTTTGGTTATAATGTGCAATAACAGGGGGTATGAAGAGACCTGCCTCTTTATGTGTTAATTATCCTGAAATTTCACCACTGGAAATATAACTATTTATTTTAGTATTATTTGTTTTTAAAAATGAAATGAAATGGTTATGTTTGTCTATTTATTTAATTTAATAATAATTTTTGAAATATAATAAGGTAAACTCCCCTTCTGTATTATTCAGAATTGTATTAACTATTTTGGATATCTACTTTTCAGTATGAATTCGAACATAGTTTGTCATATTTTGTGAAGGAACAATCTAGTTGTGATACTGATTGTAAGCATATTGACCTTGTAGATTAATTATGAGAGTATTGACATTGTTTTCCATATCAATCTTTCCATTTACTTGCTCTGTTTATTAAGGTGTTTTTCTATTAATTTTATTGACCCTTGGTAATTTTATCCTTTTCAAAATATGGACACTTTGAGTTTACATCATCAAATGAAATATTCAATTACAACCAGATGTTTCTGACTAATACAAACTGAGATAGTTATTTAATACATTCTTCATTTGATTCTCATTTTTTAAAAAGTTTTCCTATCACATATGCACGTTTACTTTTCTGCTAGAAATTTCTTGTTCAAATGAGATTTTTGGAATTGAAAGACTTTAATGATGGGAATATCATTTATCAGACCTAGTCAATTCCTAGATACTCCAGGTAAACACTTACATGCTTTATTGAAAGAAAAGGTGCAGGGGATCATATTGTATCTATTCTTTTGAAACTTGCCTTTTCCCCTTAGCAATACACTATGAACCATTTTATTTTTTAACACTCGTTACATATTTGACATCATTTTAAAGGTTGCATAATATTCCATTATGAGTCCCTTGATTCTTGAAAGATTTTTGATCTTCAAAATTCCTGTATTCAAATACAAAAGCCTGCAGGAGCAAAAAAGTCTTAAATCATTATCAGTATAAATTTTATCTTAGTTGTAATTAAGTTATCAGATTTTTTATAACTGTGAAGCTGGCTAGGAATAATTCTTGGAGAATGCTACTTAAGGTAGGTGCCTAGGCAAAGGCAGAGCAGGAATAGGGGACAGGCAAGGAGGTTAGAGAAGGGAGCCAAACAACAACAGAATCCACTTCGCTATTTCAACAAGGAGCAACTTCACTTAGAGAGAGCATAGGTAGGAGCATGGAGCTGACCTAGAAATGAAGCACTGCAGCTAAGTGATGTTACAGCAAAGTACACAGTCACCCCTGTTTCTGAATCTCTATTCAATAATTTGTTTTTTTATTTTATTTTATTATTATTATACTTTAAGTTTTAGGGTACATGTGCACAACGTGCAGGTTTGTTACATATGTATACATGTGCCATGTTAGTGTGCTGCACCCATTAACTCGTCATTTAGCATGAGGTATATCTCCTAATGCTATCCCTCCCCCCTCCCCCCACCCCACAACAGTCCCTGGTGTGTGATGTTCCCCTTCCTGTGTCCGTGTGCTCTTATTGTTCATTTCCCACCTATGAGTGAGAACATGTGGTGTTTGGTTTTCTGTCCTTGTGATAGTTTGCTGAGAATGAGGGTTTCCAGCTTCATCTACGTCCCTACAAAGGGCGTGAACTTATCATTTTTTATGGCTGCATAGTATTCCATGGTGTATATGTGCCACATTTTCTTAATCCAGTCTATCATTGTTGGACATTTGGGCTGGCTCCAAGTCTTTGCTATTGTGAATAGTGCCGCAATAAACATACGTGTGCATGTGTCTTTATAGCAGCATGATTTATAATCCTTTGGGTATATACCCAGTAATGGGATGACTGGGTCAAACGGTATTATTTCTAGTTAGAAGCTGTTGAGTGTCTGAAGTGTTCTGAAACTCTTCTCCAGTTCTCAGCTTAACAATGTGAGGTGGCTTCCAGAGATACACAGATTTATCCAACTCATTCCCCTTCTCCTTGCATTCTTATCTATGTGCCTTATATGTCTGGGGAAAGAAAAGTAGGAGGATGTGAACAGAGTCACAGAAGACATTGCAAAGGTCATGGTTGCTAACCTTTATTGAGCATTAATATGTGCACTTTATATGTATTAACTCACATAATTCATACACCACTTACAACAGTGCCATGAAGTAGATGCAATAGTTATTGTATGCCATTTTATAATTAAGTTCTTAAACACAAAGCTGTCAAATATTTTATTCGAAAGCACATGCTCTCAAGTGGCAGAGCCAAGTTGCCATCTAATTTATTGCCAAGTTACCAATTAATTTATTCAACAAATAGTTGCATGTCACCTATGTTATAGGTGTTATACTAGGCACTAAGCTTAGAGTGGTGAACAACTCAAAGTTCCTGCTTTCATGGATCAAAAATTATGGTGGTAGAGGTCGTCAATAAACAAATAAAACTATAAATATGTCATCTAAAGTTAAGTCGTGCTAGGTACCAAGAAGAAAATAAAGCGTGGTGTCTCAAAAAGTAAAGAAAGAAAATGCTTGAAGATGTAGACTTCAAATGCTATCAAATGCTGTGGTGTCTTATAGAGAGGGTAAAATTTAGCTTCCAAAGGAACACTGTGAAAAAGTGCACAAGTGTGAGAGACTATGTCTGTTTCAAGCCATTAAAACTATGTGGGGAATATTCCTGAGGAAGAATTTGGTGAGGAATGAGACTGGATGGTAGCCAGGGCCAGATCAAGGTGGCCTACAGATGCTGGCTACACATTTAGGGTTTACTCTTAAAGCCAGTGAAGAAACACTGAGTATTTTTAATGAAATGATTAACAGGAAAAGAATTGCATTTTAGAAACAGCCTTTTAAGGGCCAAGAGGAGACTTGATTAGAGAGCCCTGGAGATAGAACCAGTGATGACAAGTTATAGTAATCAGGGCCAGAAATAGTGAAGGTCCAAATCAATTCAGGGGCAGTGAAAACAGAGAAGAGAAAAATCTGAGTGCTATTTAAGGGTAAGAATAATAGGAGTTGGCAAATGATGTGATGTGGGTGATGAGGCAAAGAAGGAGCAAGAATGTCTTCCGGGTTTTGAAAACTACATAGATAGCAAAGCCATTCACTGAGAGAGGCCGCAGCATCAACAGGAGATAATACTCAATTTCAAGGACGTGGAATTTGGAGTCATGTATAGGGTATTTGTATGAATGTGTCTAGTATAAGTATGAATTATGGAGATTTGAGCTAAGGAAAGAGATAAAGATATTGGAAATTTAAATGATATAGAAGTATATTATCAGCTAAATGTTGGTACCATCCCTAGCCAAAATTTATATGTTGAAGCCCTGGCCCCCATTGTAATAGTATTTGGAGGTGGAACCTTTGGGAGGTAATGAGGTTTAGATGAGGTCCTGAGGGTGGGGCCTTATGATAGGATTAATGCCCTTATAAGAAGAGACACCACAGAGCTTGCTCTGTCTGTGTTCTTAAGGACACAAGAAGTCAACAGTCTGCAAGCCAGGAAGAGTCCTCACCAGAACCCAACCCTGCTGATTTCTTGATCTTGGACTGCCCAGCCTCTGTAACTGTGAAAAGTAAATATCTGTTGTTTAAGCCACTCAATCTATGGTATTGTGTTATGGAAGCTGGAGCTGACCAATAATGGGTAGTTAAAACCGGGGAAGTGAATGACATCATCTAACAAAATTGTGTTAAGTAAAAAGACTTGCACAAGAAAGCACAGTGAGGAACAACATTAAAAAGAAGAGAAGGCTTAAAAGTCCGTGAATAAAAACCAAGTAAGAATGATCAGAGACACAATAACAAAGATTTGGAGACAGGTTCCTAGGAATCACTCCCTGTCACCCAAACATAATATGCTTTGCATGGTATCACATTCCCAAAACTGTAGCATTGTCATGATTTAATATCTAGAAGCCATAGAAAAAATAAGGTCTAAAATTTGATAAAACAAAAACATGACAATTTAGGAAATTAGCTTTGTTAAATGTAAAATATGTTTAATTTGATCTTTGATGTTATAAGCATTCAAAATTTTACATCAGGGTAAACCAAAAATAGTGAAATTCTATGAGTGCATTCACTTGGAGACATTTATCTCTAATTTCTCATATTGTATCCCATCCTACATTATTTGTTTTGCTTGATGCCTCTGCAGAGTGGAAGGTGAAAAGTCAGTAGCAAACTATTTTGGAAACTAGAGAAAAAAGCACTTCAGAAAGAAAATACAATCAATATTTTCAAATGCCGTAAAAAGTTTTATGGAAAGTATTGAAAAGTAGCCATTAGATGTAATACTGAAAGGGCATTAGTAGCCTTATAAAGAGCTGTTTCAGTAATGTTCTGGGGGGAAGACATAATCTGTAGAGCAATGAAATTAAAATAGATTCAGTAATAACTTAGTTGTGAAATACTGTAGACACTGATACAGAGAATGTAGACAAAAATATCCAAGTATCAACCAAAAAGAGTGAAAAGAAGCAATAGATAGAGAAAGATGAAGGAATAAAAATGTTTTTTTCATCTTTTTTTTAATATTAGAGTAACTAGTATATATTTATATGCTGAAAGGAAACGAAGAAAAAAGTGCTGAGGGCTGAAGCTGGCAGGCCCTGCCAGGTGAGGAACAGTGAAGATAGGGCCACAGTCTGTCTACTCCAAAAGAAACTATCAGCAGAGTAAACAGCCTACAGAATGGCAGAAAATATCTTCAAACTATACATCTAATGAAGGTCTAATGTCCTGAATCTATAAAAAAACTTAAGCAATTCAACAAGCAAAACACAACCCCATTAAAAGGTAGGCAAAGGATATGAACAGATGCTTCTCAAAAGATGACATACCTGCAGCCAACAAACATGAAAAATGCTCAGCATTACTAATCATCAAATAAATGCAAATCAAAACCACAATGAGGTACCATCTCACACCAGAGTTGTTATTATTAAAAAGTCAAAAAATAACAGATGCTGGTGAGGCTACATTGAAAAAGAGATCCTTATACACTCTTGGCAGAAATGGAAATTAATTCAGTCACTTTGGCAGGCAGTTTGGAGATTTCTCAAAGAACTCAAAACACAACTACCATTTGGCCTAGCAATCCCATTACTGGGTATATACCCAAAGGAAAATAAATCTTTCTACCCAAAAAGTACATGCATTTGTATGCTCATTGCAGAATTATCCACAGTAGCAAATACATGGAATCAACTAGATGTCCATCAATGGTGGATTGGATTAAGAAAGTATGGTACATATATACCATGCAATTCTATACAGCCACTTAAAAAGAATGAAATTGTGTTATTTTCAGCAACATGTATGCAGCTAGAGGCCTTTATCCAAAGCAAATTAACACGGGACCAGAAAACCAAACACCGCATGTTCTCACTTATAAATGAGAGCTAAGTATTGGGTACACATGGACATAAATATAAGAAAAATAGATAATGGAGACTACTAGAGTGGGGAGAAAGGGAGGGGAGCAATGGCTGAAAAACTGTCGGGTACTGTTTTACTACCTGGTTGACAGAATTAACTGTACCCCAAACCTCAGTATCATGCAATATACCCAGGTAACAAACCTGCAAATGTACCATTTGAATTTAAAACAAAAGTTGAAATTATTTAAAAAACAGAAAAAAAAACCACTAGTGAAAGGAACAGCATGAGAAAGAGGATATTTATCTGAGAGACGGCTTAGCAGATAGGGTGTTAGAACTCATTGAGAAAGTAAAGGGTTAAAACTTTGGTTGCTAGAGGGTCAGGATATATTGAATGCTGAGGAAATAATTCATGAATTTTTTCCAGGACCAGATATAGGCCCAGAATTTTAACGGATATTTTCTCACCTAATTGTTTTTATTTTCCTCCATGCAGAAAAAGGATAGGTGAAGACTTAGTTTAACAATGAGTAAGGGCATGTGTGGAATAGGGTTATTGCGAAGGTTGAAAAAGCTGTCTGGGTGCATGAGTGATGGAGCTAACTAGAGCCACTGTGGCAAGCAGAATTCCAGATATAGCTTCCTTATGATCTCTTTGCTCTGGTTATAAAATCAAATATGAATCTTGGTACTACCGTGAAGGGATTTTGCAGATATAATTAAAGTCCAAGTCAGTTAACCTTAAGATATGGAGATTATTTGAATGGGCCTGGTTTAATGAGATGAGCCTTTGAAAACTAGAGAGTTTTCTGAGCTGGTGGCAGAAGAGGAAGTCACAGATATCTGAAAGCATGAGAAAGTTTCAGCATGTCATTACTGACTGTGCAGATGAAAGGGGCCACATGAAGAGAAATGCAGGTGATCTCTAAAAGCTGAGTCACTTCAAGCAAATAGCCAGCAAGAAAGTGAGGTTTCAGTCCTATAACTGCCACCAGCAGGCTTCTTCGAACAATTTGAATAAACTTGGAAGCATTTTTTTTTCTCAAAGCCTTTAGTTCAGAAACCAGGTTGGGCTTTATGAGACTCTAAGCAGAGAACTCAACCAAGCCAGCCTGAACTTCTAATGACCAGAACTATGAGATAATACGTGGGTACTGTTTTTAGTGATTAAGTTTGTAGTAATTCATTACAAAGTTTGTAGTAATTCACTACACAACAATAAATAACTAACGCAGCCATATTATGGTGTTTCTAAGATGAAGTTGAGGTCCATAGATCTATATTTATCTCAGAAAAATGGTTTTATCTGGGATCCTTCATCCGCAAATCAGTAACAGTGGGGAGCTGGATTGATTCAGACTTTAAGAAGTGGAATAAGTGGAAAGAAAGCAGGACAAGGTGAAGAGGTCAAGAAACACTACAATGATGGAGTTTGATTTGATGCCGGCTAGAGAAAGAATACGAGTTAAAAGTGAAATGGTATAGAGTAAAGGAGAATGACATTTTAAAGGACTTTTGCTCCATAAATCAGTCTATGTTCAGAGCAGGATAATGAGAGTGAGAATTCTGGGAAAAAGAAAAAACAGAGTGCTTACTACTCTTCAAGAGTTCAGAAATGAAACAATTTTTTGTGTGGCTATAGATTTAAAAAGCTGGTGAAGAGTAGAGGGGAGGTGGCCTGGGCTTATGAAGTTAAAACATCACAAGGCTTACATGCTGTAAGACAAGGATCCTAAAGTCTCCTGGTGGTTAGGGAAGAAGACAATGGTACAAGTGATGAAGTGGTGAAGAATATTTCCAGCTTCAGGAAAGAAGGTGGCATAGCCTAATGACATGACTTTAAAAGAAAAAAATTTATTGGAAAAGTGAAAGAGTAGTGATTTATACATGGTATAGGAAGCTGGAAAGGTGGTGTTTCTAACTTTGGGCTTTTAGATGAATGAGACAGAGAAGAAGGAGTAGCCTCTACTCAAGAGTATTACCGGAAAAGAATGTCGTCCTCAAAAGAGACTTGGGTTTCATTTAACACAAGAAATGAAGGAAAGTATTCTATGAAGCGTCTGAGGGTATTATAGAAAAAAGGCTTCAGAAGGCTAGAAGAAAATAAAATGTAAAATTAAATGGTATTCAAAATGCTTTTCCTTTTATAAGCAAATTTATGTAAATTCTCATTTCAAAGGAAAGAAGGATGGAAAGTAGGAGAGAGAGAGAGAAGGAAGAAAAGAAAGAAAGAAAATATCCAAACTTTTGACTTGGAATTAGTAATAATCCAAATGGAAAATAATTTTGCAGTAGATCCCTTCAGATATAGACAAAGACAAACTTGCCGTGGTAGTTTTAAAATATGTCCATAAATTATTTGATACTCCTTTCTTGAAAAGGTAGAAACTCAGTCTCACTCCACTTGGGCATGAGCTACACTTAATGACTTGTTCCTAAGAAATAATCTATGGCAGACATAATGATGCATGACTTCTAAGACTATGTCATAATAGAAGGCATTGTGGCTTCTTTTATTGTTTTTGCTTTTCTGGAAGAAGCAAGGCGCATCTTACATGGCAGCAGGAGAGAAAAGAGGGAGGAGGGACCTACCAAACACTTTTCTCTTGTTCTGGAAGAACACTTCTTGTTTGTTTTCACTTGTTTTGGAAGAAGACGGCTGCCATGTCATGAGGACACTCAAGAAACCCTGTGAAGAGGTTTCTGTGTTGAGAAACTGAGGCCTCCAACCAGCAGCCATGTGAGCAAGCCATCTTTTAATCCAATCCTCTAGCCCAAATTAAGTTCCCAGATGGGTGCAGTCATAGCCAACAGCTTGAATCCAACACCAGGAGAGAAACAAAGGTACAAACACCCAGCTAAACTGCTTTCAAATTCTTAACACAAAAATTTAAGCATGGCTATAGATATCAAAAACAGCTTGAGATAATTACATTTGTTCTAATCTTTAAGTTTGGGGTTGTTACAAAGCAATAGATAACTAATACAGTTGAAAAAGGTACATGGTGATACTTTCTGGTGTCCAAAGTCAGTGCACCCTTGGGAGGAAAAAAAATCCACAGGCCAATTAGTCTGTGTATCCAACAAAATCATTAAGAAGGTTATTCCTCATCAAATCTCATCTTTGAATGATGACTTCTAAAGCTCTCCACTCACCACAATCTGCCGATCAAATCTGTATCACTGGCACACTATACAGAACTCCACTGCTAAATTTATCTTCTCATTAGGTCAGTCTTGTAAATGTGCTTATAAATTTATAATGGCTCATTGTAGCCTCTTGCACTGAGTTTCAACATTTCTTTCTGATTGAAAGCCTCTCAATTTCTAATGCCCTCTCAACCCATCTTGGCCTGTTTAGATTTATTTTCTATTATTTCTAATACTAATCCTATAAACCAACACAGGTCACCAGATTGACATATCAAGGCTTTTGTCAATTCTATCCCACCCATATCTCCTGTTCTAGCTCATTCAACCAACCCCACTAACATCTATGACTGAGCTATTCCTCAAGGCTCACCTCAAGTTCCTGCTTCTTCAGAAGACTTTTCCAACAACATCTATCCAGAAAAATCTCTCAAGTCAAATTTCTATTTCATTTAGTAATGGTGTATTATAAAACAATAATAACACATAATTGGATACTGTCCTGCCTCTAGTGGTTTGTACTGTACCACTTGACATTTAACTATGTCAGTCAGTGCAATGATGCACTGGCATATACTGTATTGCTTTGTTCACACATTGTTTCACAGGTGTCTGTTCCCTAATTATATTATAAATTCTTTTACTGAGAGTGATAAAACACACTTTTCTTCTCTATATTTTCCACATCATCTCAGTTAGGTATATATAAGTCAAGCAATTGCTATGCTGTTACTCTATATTGGGTATTTCAGAGACTATTATTTTTCTCTTCTGTGCCAAGGAACAGAACTAAACATTTTTCGAACTCCTTGCATTTAGATGGGGCTCTGTAACTCACTTCTGGCCAGTAGAAGCAATATATGCCACTTCCAGATATGGTTTATGAAAATCTCACACACAAAACTTTTTACTCTGTCTTCTATTTTTGCAGCAATCTGAAAGGTCATTTAAAGGTGATACGGCATCAAGAACTGCATCTCTGAGTCACCACTTAGAGGAAACACACCCTGCAATGTCACCCAAGCATCTGCCTTCCCAGTAATATCTGCACTGGATTAATCTGTGGGCAAGAAGGGAACTTTTATTCTGTAAAGCTCCTGAGATTTTGATGTTATTTGTTACAGCTGTTAGCATCAGTTATTTCATTCAGAGATGGAACATGAAAATAAATAAGGCCCTACACTTGAGGAACTCAAAGTGTAGTTAGGTAATTGGGTTTAAAGAAAAAAAATATGTTTTCAGGTTTCCTGTTTCTAAACTCTAATTTACCATTTTAGTAACCTGAGTAATTCTCAAAATAGAAAAAAACCACAATCAATGATTTTTGTATATTTGTTTTATGGCAAATGTGGTCCTACATATCAATCAGAACTACACATGTATCCCAAAAATTGATACAAGTAGTCATTAAGCTTTATTAAAATTTATCAGTAGAAATATTTGTTTTTATTTGGTAAATGTGACTTGATTTCACCATAAAAAATCAAATAGTCTTTTCATGTTTATTAATATTCATATAAATGCCTATCTGTGTAAATGTGCTCTTGCCTTGCTATAAAAAAAATACATGAGACTGGGAAATTTATAAAAAGAGGTTGAATTGGCTCACAGTTCTGCAGGCTGTACTAGCATGGTTCTAACATCTGCTTCTGGTGAGGGCCTCAGGAGGCTTACAGTCATGGTGGAAGGGAAGGGAAGCCAGCATATCACATGGTGAAGGGAACAAGAGAGAGAAGGGAGAGGTCCCAGACTTTTAAACAACCAGATCTAAGTGAGTGAGAACTCAGTTATTACCAAGGGAATGGTGCTTAGTTATTCATGAGGAATCTACCTCCCTGATCCAATCACCTCCCACCAGACCTCACCTCCAATATTGGGAATCATATTGCAACATGAGATTTGGAGGGGACACACATCCAAACCACGCTATCCGTGTATACATAGTATGTTGTGAAAATAAAGTAAATGATACTGCGGAACACAGATTTTCATGGTGATTTTCCTATTCTGTTAACTGTCTATTTATATTAAATGATTATGTAGAAAATGATTTGGCTTGTAAAAATATTAAGTATTGTATTAGTCCATTTTCACACTACTATAAATAACTGCCTGAAACGGGGTAATTTATGAAGGAAAGAGGTTTAATTGACTCATAGTTCTGCATGTCTGGGGAGGCCTCAGGAAACTTACAATGGTGGTGGGAGGTGAAGGGGAAGCAAGGCGCATCTGACATGGCAGCAGGAGAGAAAGAGAGGGAGGAGGGACCTACCAAACACTTTTAAACCATCAGTTTTCATGAGAAGTCACTCTCTATCATGAGAATAGCATAGGGGAAACCCACCCCCATGATCCAATCACCTCCACCAGGTCCATCACTCAACATGTAGGGATTACAATTTGAGATGAGATACAGGTGGGGACACAGAGCCAGACCATACTAAGTATTGTTAGTGTGAAGCAGTGTTCTGAAGTCAAACTTTTTGGGGTATATTTTATATGCTTTCATTTTTTGAAAACTTAAAATCAATTTGAAATGGGTCCTCTTATTCATGTCAGCTTAATGGTGATGAGGGCAGAGCCCACAAATTAAATTTGTCCTTGGTCAGTAGGAAGAAAGTGAAACAGGGGTGTTTGAGATGCAGTACACACCTGCTGTATGCTAGCATACAGTTGTCATGGGTCTTTCACTGGGGAAAAAAAAGACCAATATTTTTATTGTAACCTTGAATTATCATCACCTGTGGTATTGGTGGCTTATCTACCTGTAAGAACACTTATTAATTTTAGGTAGAAATAATTATTATATTTATTAAGAGTCAGGAAAGCATAATTTTACACTCTTCTGTCAGAGAAAGCTAACATATTCTTTAAAAGGTGATCTTCAATTGTGCAACACATTTAATCTTTGTGTCACGATGATATTTCCATGTCATAGATTTAGTTTTGACAGTGCAATTTAATAATCTATAAGAATGTATCAGATTTTGTGTAAATTGTAGGCTATATGATCAATGTAAGCAATTTAAAATAATGTTTTACTGTGATCCTGGTTTTAATTGCTATGTTTTTCTTTTGACTCAATTCTCATTCTTTTGGCTTTTCAATCTCTTTTCTGAAAGACCTACTATCTTTTATAGTCTAGTGTCTCATTTTCATGTTCTAACATTCGTTGATGTGTTCTATAGTCTTCTAATTGTAAAAGTACTATATATGTGTGTATGTGTGTGTTTATGTACATACACACATATGTGGTGCTTTTCATTTTTGTAATTTTATTTGTCCTAAATATCCTTATATTTCATAAATATTTAGTGTGTCCTCTATTTGCTGGTCAATATGCCAGGTAATTGGATATCCAAGATGAACAATACTGACTTTCTTTGATTCCACAGAACGTACCATCTAGAGGAAGAATAGTCACTAAAAAATTACATTAATAAATATAACTGAGCTTTATGATGCTATGATTATATCTCAAGGAGGCATTTTATTTGACCTAGCTAGCGAAATCAGAGAAGAGCTTTCCTGAGGATAAGTGTAAGTTATCTGAAGAACGGGCAAGAGCATTTTGGAAAACTGTAGCAACAAGTATAAAATCCTGTGGCAGGGCTGAGGAAGGTACCCTGGAGTTTCTGAAAGAAAGAAACTGAGATAAGAACAGAGAGTAGAGTAAATTTCAATATGAGTTGATATCAGAGCTGTCAGCTGGGGTCAGGCCAGGCAGGATACTACAGACCATGTCAAGAAACTTAGTCTCTATCCTTAGAGCAATAGTAAGCCATTGAATAGTTTCAAGAGTGGGGTGGTATAGTCAAGATTCCATTAGGAAGAAAATATATCTGGGGAGGTAGGGGAGGGAGCAAATACAAAGGTACCATCTCCCTGTCCAAATTACTAGTCATCCCTTTCTGCAGCAGGCTATAATCACCTCACCGATATGAATAAAAATCTTTACTTGACTCTGGCCTCTATTATCATCCAAGCATCTCATAAATGAAAACCTAACTGGGTATCAGGCTCCCAGCTGGTATCCGTGTAATAGGAAGTGGGTAGGGAGCAGCACGTCCCAGTGAATTGAAGAATGGTAAGTTCCCTCAAGAGGGCTATGGATCATTGACTGAAAGTTAATGTTAAGCTGCCCTCATGCCTGGAAGCAGGTGCATTAGCAAGGCCTCATTCCTGAGCTTTCTCTGGTTGTTTCAAACCCTGCTGAGCTGATGAAAATGAAGTCCTTAATTTCAACTATGGTCATTAACCGCCTGCTTTGTGTTTCTACAAATCATTAACATGTCATTTGTGTTCACTTTAAAGATAGGCTTTGTGTTCAGGGAGCTGGGGCTTCAGGGCAATGGAGATCAAGGATTGAAGGGGAAAACGCATGACAAATCGCAAGGACAAGGCTGTGCTGGTCACCTGGTACAAAAATATTTATGATCTCCATCTGAATAATGCAGATGGCACTGGGATTACCTCTTGAATTGTGAAGAGGAGAAGCAACAACATTTACTAGGAGGAAGCATAGTTGTAATAGCTGAAAGTCACCACTATATCCCGTAGCCATGGCATAGCGCAGCCCCAGTAATGAGGAAAAACAGCAACAAAAATGTCTGGGAGATCTCTAGCTTCATGTTTTACTTGAGTGCAAAATGCAAGTTTAGGGTAAAATAATCAAATCAGTTCAATTCATCAAGCATTGATCAGGCACTGTACTAATCAATCTCATTCCTGCCCAAATGATCTTTTCAACTATATGTGCCTCATTGCTTTTCAATTACTGTAATCAAATGACTACAATCAATGCTCCTTCATATTGCACCCTTTGCCCAATCTGTTCCCTTTGTACTTTCCTAACCTTTCTTCCAGCCTTATAGTTCAAGTTCCTGGCTAAGTTCTACCTCCAAAAAGACTCCTCAGTAGGTGATTACCCAAGGAGAATAGCTTCTCCCTTGAACTCACCAATCGGTGTTTAGCAGTTGTTCATGTACTTGTTGCAATACTTTTATTATTACTTCATTCCTGTATATTATTTAGCAGGAAATCTCAATTCCCTAACTCAATGTAAACTCCTTTATGTCAGAGACTTAATGGAATAATATATTAAATGTGGTTTAATGAACAGTGTTTAAGCTATTGGAGTCAAATGCGAATCAAAGCAAGCATTTTGCTCCATTGGTTCCAGGGAAAATTTCATAAGAAAGTCTTTAAATGTTAATTTTTATCTTATTTTTCTTGAGTAATATATTTTGACATTAAATTTAGTTTCCTAAAATAATGTTGCTAGAAGATTAAATCTGCTATGCCTGTATTCTGGCATTTGTGCAATTTAGGTATGCTCCTAGTTTATATACAGCTTCATATATTTTTAAAATTTCAGAATATTTGTGTTTCTTAATTTTAATAATTATACAAGAAGAAAGTGGAAAAATGATCTTTGGTAGACAGATAAAAGATCTTGCATATGATCCTGTTAATTGGGCTTTAATGCTTGAGTACAGACTTTTGAAAATAATTTGTTAATTGTGTATCATATAAACATCTAAAATGAATAGGCATAATTGCATATG
Organism: Homo sapiens; assembly: GCF_000001405.40. Lineage (NCBI taxonomy): Eukaryota > Metazoa > Chordata > Mammalia > Primates > Hominidae > Homo > Homo sapiens. The sequence continues at coordinate 106,294,888 of NC_000003.12, read as the reverse complement.
CACAAGAGGATGAGAAAGGAATAAAAAAGAGAAAAAAGAAAGATGTGGGATGGTATCTTAATAGTTATTAATACTTTGAACAATTTTTATCTTGACCATGTATGTGATTTTTCATATAACACGTAAAATAAGCTCTATCTTATAGTCTTTCATATGAAGAGTTTATTATTATAAATATTATTTAATTTCACTTTAAAAATGTAATGAACAACAAAACAAGCATCATTCATTCTTGATTTAGCAATGAAGACTTTTCCTTAGGCATGAAGTAAAATCCTAGTCATAATGTTTTTCCTCCACTGCAAAAAAAAAAAGCTCTTGTGTGCACTTTTATATCAGAAAATACATTCGATGAATAATCAACCTCATTTTTTAAATATATTTATTTTTCTCCAGTATGCTAAAAATAGTTTTAAAGCTTAAAACCATAAAAAATCACATCTATTTCTTATTGGGAAAAAGGCTTTTGCATTATTGCATTTTTACACAATTGTCATCATTCAAAACTACTTTTCCTCCTAGTGAACAACACTTGTCTTTATCCATGTGTTGGTCACTGGCAGAGCTGACATTTTATATGTTGGCTGATTTCCCATATGCAGTGCCTTCTTGTATTGTCCTTCTTTGACTGTTTAATAATCCACTGTATATTTTATTTGTGACCATACTAACAGCAGGTCTTTGTAGTGCATTGTGATATAAAAAAATGCATGGAAAGCAACATAAAATGACTCTGTAAAAGCTATTTTCACCCATGAAATTTAAGTCACTTAATATAATAATAATCGTGTTAGACTGAAATAAGGAAAATGTTAAAATATAAGCTTTCTTTCTTTTTTTATATTAAAAATGTATGTTATACATAAAACACACATTTAAAACTACATAACTCTGAAGACAGGAATTGAAGCAATTTGACTATTTTTTTAAGGATTAGAGTTAAGATCGAGGGATAAACATAATTAAGATTAAAGATTATGCCTCAGAATACTAATATATCAGATTGTTCTCAGTGCCTTCCAATGTTTTATCAGTTTGGTAATACACATTAGAAGAGTGAATATTCAGCGGCCTGTTAACTACTCTCTTTGCAAAGTTGACATTGGATATGAGAGTTTACTTTGCAGGAAAGTCTTGTTTTAAAATTAGCATCCTGTAAAGTGAAAGCTGATCTGCATTATGCATGAGTAGATCAAGGTGGTACTCTTCCATAATCTTTAACTTTCGGGGCACAAAATAATATTTCTTAGCCTTAGTTTGCTTTTATGTAAAATGAGAGTCTATATTATTCTAGTTTCTTAAATCATAGGTCTTTCCTTTGAGTCTATGATTGATTTTACTTAGATTCAGTGATATGTACCATCTGTGATTACATATTTGCCAAAATTTTCTATCAACGTGTGGCAGATTTCTTGAATATTTATATTGGGCTATTTTTGCTGAATCCTAGGATATCTGCAAAAAACAGATCTGGGGTATCTCAAAAAAAATGTCAACTCTCTAGGACTTTGGGATTAAGCCCTCCAAAAACTCAACCCAGATAGCAGAACGCTTTCACCCTCTTTATGCTTACCACACCCAGAACCAAAGTTCCAGAGGGCTTGGAACTTTGACGCAAGTCCTCTATTAAACATTTTTTTTTGGCATGTTTGGGGAGTGGGAAAGAAAGAACAAATGAATTTTAGAATGAATATACTCATGGATGCATATCTAATATTTGATATACTTTTATTTAAAAAATACAAATAATCATCTTTGATTTTCTAATATGAAAAAAACGACAGAAGAATTTCAAATCTCTAGATCTCAACCTTTTCATCTGTAAAACATTGAATTAGATGTGTTGAAAAGATACACTAAAATCCCTTCCAGCTTTAATGCTTTTCATTGACTGGAACACAAATTCTTCTAAGCCTTTTAAAGATTAATGGCTATTGGACCTAGCTTCCACAGAGTATGCATTACATAGCATAGAAGAAGAAATACAAATTTTGAGGAAGGAATTGAGGTATAATGGTAATACAGGTTTCAACAACCACAGCAACATGCATTTGTCTGGCACTTCTAAGTTTGAAAGTGTTTTTTATATATGATTGCTTCTTCAGTCATCCCCTAAACTATATAGGTAATTCCCTAAATGATATAGTTATTGCAGATAAAATTTTCCTTATTTTGCAGAACAGGGGATTGAAATTCAAGGAGTCTAAATGACTCAGAAAATAAAACATGTTAGAATCAATATACTCACTTGATTTCTGCAGTAGTCTGAGACACGTAAGTTTCAGAAAACAAACAAACAAACAAACAAAAAACAACAAAAAAAACACAAACACCTGAATAGCTTGTTAACGTTTGCAGTTCTAGGCTCTATCTCCAAATAATCTCATTTAATAAGACTAAGCCCAATATTCTATCTTCAACTAACCTCTCATGGTTATGAATAATACTCCCCTACATCTTCTGTGTATGCCAGATACTATTTTCATTTATTTTTCTCTCAGCTTTGAAAAATAGGCTACATTTCATCTTCTGGCATCTTATGTATGAAAATACTGTTTCTGAAAGACAGCTTATCAGAGACATCATATTGTCACCTTTTGTTATAATTATTTTTCAGGTTTTTTGCTATTAGAATACCAAACAAATTGTTTTTCACCTAGTTGTCACCTCATAGAAATGTACTGTAACATCTTACTGCATGGCAAAAAAATTCTTAGCTTGGCATTCAAGACAGTTCATCAGTGCTTACTCTGTTTCTGTAATAGGCCTCTCTGATATAAATATTTCTATTTCAATGTTCCTCCTCTCCATGTTGGCTATAGCATGATGTCACACTTGCTCCAACTGAGATTATGCACAAAAGGATTTTAATATAAGAGTTACCAAATGAATCACAGAATGAGATAAGCCTCATTGGGTTGTCCAAAGCCATTAAAATTGTCTGAACTGACCCAGAAGACATCGTATTTCACCTTAACCATTGGTCTTGACCCTTCACGGAAAAGGACTTGGGCATTGTGAGTGAGCAGATTCTTCTGTTCTTCATCAGTATTCAGAAGAAGGAATGCTTATAATTTACAAATTTATTTATTTATTATTTTTATTATTATTATTTTTGAGGCAGAGTCTCACTCTCTCACCCAGGCTGGAGTGCAGTGGCCTGATCTCGGCTCACTGCAACCTCTGCCTCCTGGTTCAAGCAATTCTCCTGCCTCAGCCTCCCAAGTAGCTGGGCCTACAGGCACGCACCGCAATGCTCAGCTAATTTTGGTATTTTTTAGTAGAGACAGAGTTTTACCATTTTGGCCAGGCTGGTCTCGAATTCCTGACCTCGGGTCCTGCCTTGGCCTCCCAAAGTGCTGGGATCACAGACATGAGCCACCATACCCGGCCTGAAATGCTTATAATTTTAGAATAATTAAAATCACCAAAGGAGCTAGTCTTCCTTTTGAGCTTAGGTTGTAAGGTGGCTGATAGTCCCATTCATTCAACACAAATTAAACTTTCCAGGTTGTAGAGGATAAGTGAAAGAAAGGACAATCAAAACAGAAAGCAAATATGCACATGGACATACATGTATACATGTATGCATATATGCAGCAAGGAGGCTCTACATATGTGTGTGTGTGTATATATATACACACATACAAATATATACAGGTATATATGATGTGTTTATATGATAAAATTCCATTCACAAATGCTTTTATGTTACTAATGTTTCTATTATTTACACATAAACATTTTAGAACAGAGTTGAATATACAAAGTAATGGATACCGTACTCTATTGGAAATTAAGTATACTTTCAAGGATAATTTTATTTGATTTCTAGCACATACATTGTTAGAAATTAACCCCAGCCAAAATATGGAACACTACTGTATGCTGAGTATCCCTGCTTCATGTCTTTCTCCCCACCAGTTTCTCCTAGATATGCTGATTTGAAATAAAATAAAATGGTGAAGTTCTCTTTCCTATGCTATTGCCTCAAAAAAGATTTGAAAAGGAAAGTAAAAATGATTTAAAGGTTGTACCATTTTTATTTCTCACTACAGCCCTGAGAGCTAGAGGAAGTTATGATGTAAGTGGAAGGGGCAAGACCACACACATGCATGGCACCATCCCAGGAAGGTTTTGAGACCCAGTGGGGAGTGTCTTCACTATGCACCTAAGGAAGCTGGAGACCAGGCCCCAAGGTCTCAAAACACTCAGAGTGTCTGGGCACACCTGTATGGCAGTGGAAGTAAAGCTGGTAGATATTAACATTAATTGACTGATGAGAAGACTCAGAACATAAACACCTCAGATGAACTAGCAAGAAGGGCAGACTAGAGAGGCCTTCTCAATCGTGCTTTGTGAAAACCTGAGACCTACAGCTGCCAGTGGTGGAGATGAGCAGAAGATGCAGTAATGACTAATATTAAATTTCCCACTGATCCAGCAAGATTAAGTCATGGGATCCATTTAAGTTGACTACACAAACAAAAATGAAGAATGTGATGGTTCTTTCTCATCAGAGTTTCACATGAAAGTTAAGATTCACTTGTTTTTCACATTGAGCTCTTTATGCTTTCTGCCTTTAATTCAAGGTCTATTTTACATTTCTATTATTATCTATTTGTGATCAAGAATAAAAGCAAGTTGAGGCTTTGTAACATTCAAAATGATCACAGCAACCAAAATGTTCAACTGAAGAATATACCACTGAGTGAATGAGTTGTAATCATGCTTATCTGATCTTGAATAATGATTGTATGTACTCATTCAATATGCACTAGAAGGCTAATTGATTAATTAAAAAACTATTTCAATAGAGATTCTATATATTTTTAATTGTAGAAATTAAAATTACAGTCATTTCCAAGAACTCCTGAACTTTCCAGTCTATGATGCTGAATTCTCAATTTTAGGGTCCATGTCCCTTAATGTGGCATTGGAACTTTGGCTTTTATTGTTCCTTGGGCTTTTATTTTTCCTTTACACTTTTTTTATATGTATTTCCTTTCTCTGCAACAAATGTGCTAATACCTTCAGGGAAAATATAATATCCTCTACTACTGAGCCCTTCACAACATCTCACCCTATAACATTTGTTAAATATTTTATAACTTAATCTTTGGACTCTTCCTATGTTTGAAATGAAAACCTCTAAAATTAACAGAGATAATTAACATATTACTTTATCTTTTTGGAAAGGCTATTTCATGTCAGTAGAACAATTTCTAAAATTAAGATAAATTAAGGTAGAGGAGAATTTATTTGTCTGAACTGAAACTTTTTACTCTTTATGCTCTGTCTTTCCCAGATATTAAGCAACAGGAAAGTTACTGACTACTAAATATTTATTGTATTTATTCACCAATCTTGTTGTTCTCTAAAAGGTTATCATCACTTAATGAAAAAGTTACCCTCATTTTTAAAAGCTATGTTGTGGAAGTGTTCTAACAATTATGTATTCTCCTTCATTTTCCCCACTGTACACTTGCCCAGATGTTCATTTTTTTTCTAATTCTCCAGGAAATCTATCTGTAAATCATAACTCACAGAAAAAAAACTATGCCTTCCTATAGTTTCAAGTAACAAAAATAGCTATTGGTGTAGAATGTAAGCTAGATCCTTTTGATGTGTTGACTTCCTAACCAGGCTATGCACACTAGTACAAATTTAAGTGGTAGCAAGTTTTATTTTGTGTTACTTTCTCATTGCCAGTAATGGACATGTTGGATGCTTGACCTGACTTTGATACATACAGAGAACACTGACAGAAAGCTTATTATATGGTGCTACTCTCTTGGCTTTGATGTTCTGTAAACCACACGCATGATTGCTTTTCAGGGAAAAATTCAAGCTCCCAGCACTTTGGACGTAGTGAACTCTCTGTGAGACTCAGATTTTAGTTCTAAATCATGACATGTATAAGGCGTATATAACAACCGAAGATTATTTCCAGATGCTGAAGATGTAGGCTATGTTTATAACTCATATTTACCAGTACATTTTGAAAATTGATGTTCCTAGGATTTCAGTGAGAGTGTGTCATTGCTCTGCCTTGGTTCCTCTCTCTCTCTCTTTCAGTTTCTTTCAATATATAGACAGAAATAGTTCCATTGGTAAATACCATAAACCCATTCTGATGTCATCCCCTTCAGAACCTGCAGTTCCCAGGGTATAGTAGAATTACTGTTGGGTCAAAGACAGTACAAGTTAATTCTTTTAAAAAGGAAGTATAAGCAATAAGATAATGTTCTTAATAATTCATTTTAAAATCAGCAGTCTGGAATGAAAAATGAATTGTTTTCTATAGAAACAATGCTAAGCATAATATTAAGACCTTTAATTTAGTCTTCAAAAGTCAGCTTCAATCATGTATAGTGCACCAATAATAAGTTTATATAACGCATTTATTGTACGAAAATACATCTTTGTTTTAGTCTGTTTTATCCTGCTGTAACAGAATACCTGAGACTGGATAATTTATACAAAATAGGAATTTATTTTCTACAGTTCTGGAGGCTGGAGAGTCCAAAGTCAAGGGGCATGCATCTAGCAGAGGGCCTTCTTGTGGCATCACTCCATTGTGGAAGGTGAAAGGACAAGAGAGCCAATGCAGAGAGAAGAGGGTTGAACTCACCCTTTATGAGGATGCCACTCTGGTAATAAGGAACCCACTCTTGCAATAATGGCCTTAACTCATTCAGGAGGACAGAACTTCTTAAAGGTCCTACCTTTCAGCAGGGGTGCATTAAGGATTAAGTTTCCAACATTGGGAACACATTCAAACCATAGCATTTTGCTCCTGGCCCTCCAAATTTATATCCCTCCTATATACAGCATATCTTCGTTCCACGCCAGTAGCCTCTAAAGTCCTTTTTATTAAACTTTTATTTTAGGTTACAAATACATGTGTAGGTTTGTTATACAGGTAAATGCATGTCACAGGGGTTTGTTGTACAGATGATTTTTCACCCCGGTACTAAGTCTAGTACTCAATATCTATTTTTTCTGATCGTCTCCCGCCTTCTACCATCTAGCCAAAGGTAGGCCCTGGTGTCTGTTGTTGCCCTCTTTGTGTCCACGTTCTCATTATTTAGTTCCTACTTATTAGTGAGAACATACGGTATTTGGTTTTCTGTTCCCCCATGAGTTTGCTGAAAATAATAGCCTCCAGCTCCATCCATATTCCTGCAAAAGACATGATCTTCTTTTCATGACTGCATAGTATGGCTCCATGGTATATATGCACCACATTTTCTTTATCCAGTATATCATTGGTGGGCATTTATGTTGATTCCATGTCTTTGCTATTATGAATAGTGCTGCAATGAACATATGCATGCATGTGTCTTTATGGTAGAACAATTTATATTCTTTTTGATATATACCCAGTAGTGAGATTGCTGGGTTGAATGGTAGTTATGTTTTTAGCTCTTTGAGGAATTGCCACACTGCTTTCCACGATGGTTGAACTAATTCATACTCCCACTAACAGTGTACAAGCATTCTCTTTTCTCTGTAACCTTACCAGCATCTGTTATATTTTGTCTTTTTAATGATAGCCAACCTGACTGGTGTGAGATGGTGTCTCATTGTGGTTTTGATTTGCATTTCTCTAACAATCAGCAATACTGAGCTTTTTTCATATGTTTGCTGGCTACATGTATGTCTTCTTTTGAAAAGTGTCTGTTCATGCCCTTTGCCCACTTTTTAATGGGTTTGTTTGCTTTTTCTTGCAAATTTAAGTTCCTATTAGATGCTGGATATTACACCTTTGTCAGATGCATAGTTTGTGAATATTTTCCCCCATTCTGTAGGTTGTCTGTCTACTCTATTGATAGTTTCTTCTGGTGTGCAGAAGCTCTTTAGTTTAATTAGGTCCCATTTGTCAATTTTTGCTTTTGTTTCAATTGCTTTTGGCATCTTCATCATGAAGTATTTGCCCATTCCTATGTCCAGAATGGTATCACCTAAGCTGCCTTCTAGGGTTTTTATAGCTTTGGATTTTACAGTTAATTCTGTAATCCACCTTGAGTTTATTTTGTATAATGTGTAAGAAAGGGTTCCAGTTTTAATTTTCTGCATATGTCTAGCCAGTTATCCCAGCACCATTTATTGAATCCGGAGTTTTTTCCCCATTGCTTGATTTTGTCAGCTTTGTCAAAGATCAGATGGTTATAGGTGTATGGCCCTGTGTCTGGACTCTCTATTCTGTTCCATTTGTCTATATGTTTTTCTTACTGTAATCTTGTAGTATAGTTTGAAGTCAGGTAGCATGATGCTTCCTACTTTGTTCTTACAGCTTAAGATTGCCTTGACTATTCAGGCTCTTTTTTGGTTCCATATGAATGTTAAAATATTTTTTCCTGGTTCTGTGAAGAATTTCGTTGGTAGTTTAATAGGAATAACATTGAATCTATAAATTGTTTTGGGTAGTATGGCTATTTTAATAATATTGATTCTTCCTATTCATGAGCATAGAATGTTTTTCCATTTGTTCGTGTCACCTCTGATTTCTTTGAGCAGTGTCTTGTAATTATCATTGTAGAGAGATCTTTCACCTCCTTTGTTAGCTGTATTGCTAGGTATTTGATTCTTTTTGTGGTAATTGTGTATGGGATTGTGTTCCTGATTTGGCTGTCCACTTGGCTGTAATCGGTTTATTGGAATGCTAGTGATTTTTGTACATTGATTTTGGATCCCAAAACTTTGCTGAAGTTGTTTACCAGCTAAAAGAGCTTTTAGGCAAAGATTATGGGGTTTTCTAGATATAGAATCATGTCATCTGCAAACAGGGATAGTTTGACTTCATTTCTGACTATTCGGATGCCCTTTATTTCTTTCTCTTGCCTGAGTGCTCTGGCCAGGACTTCTAATACTATGTTGAATAGGAGTGGTGACATCCTTGTCTTTGCCAGTTTTCAAGGAGAATGCTTCCAGATTTTCCCCTTCCATTATGATGTTGGCTGCTGGTTTGTCATAAATGGCTCTTATTATCTTGAGGTATATTCCTTCAATACCTAGTTTATTGAGAGTTTTTAACATGTTGAAAGACTTTTGTGCACTTATTGAGAAAATAATGTGTTTTTTGTCTTTAGTACTATTTATGTGATAAATCACATTTATTGATTTGCTTATGTTGAACCAACCCTGCATCCTGGGGATGAAGCCTACTTAATTGTGGTGAATTATCTTTTTGATGTGTGGCTGGATTCAGTTTGCAAGTGTTTTGTTGAGGATTTTTGGATCAATGTTCATCAAGGATGTTGGCCTGAAGTTTTCTTTTTTTGTTGTGTCTCTGACAGATTTTGGTATCAGGATGATGCTGGTCTCATAGAATGAGTTAAGAAGGGGTCTCTTCTCTTCAATTTTTTGGAAAAGTTTCAGTAGGAATGGTACCAGCTCTTCTTTATACATCTGGCAGAATTCAGCTGTGAATCCATCTGGTCCTGGGCTTTTGTGGGTTGGTAAGCTATTTATTACTGATTCAATTTTAGCACTCTTTATTGGTCTGTTCAGGGATTCAATTTTTTCCTGGTTCAGTCTTGGGAGGGTGCATGTGTCTAGAAATTTACCCATTTCTTCTAGATTTTCTAGTTTGTTTGCATAGAGGTATTCATAGTGTTCTCTGATTGTTATTTGTATTTCTGTGGGGTCAGTGGTAATATCCCCTTTGTTGACTTTAATTGTGTTTACTTGGATCTTCTCTCTTCTTATTTATTAGTCTAGCTAGCAGTCTATCTATCTTATTTTTATTTCTATTTTTTAAAACAAAACAGCTTCTGGCTTCATTGATCTTTTGAATGCTTTTCCGTGTCTCATTCTCCTTCATTTTAGCTCTGATATTATTTTTTGACTTCTACTAGTTTTGGGATTGGTTTGCAGCAGACTCATGAGGCTCAGTTCAGACAGGCCCTGTCTCATGGGCAAGACTACCCTGCAAAGTTCAGGTCTGACAGTTACCCTAAGGCTAATGCCTCCCACGCGAGCAAGTAGAGCCTAGGGGGATGGGTGTCCCTGGCTGTGCTCCATTACAGATGCTTCTGCAGCAAACCCTCTGGGTTCCACACTGGCTAGCACTCTACCCCTACCACTTCTCTAAGCAGATCTCCCTGCCAACTCAGGTGTCTGTAGTGGCTAAGGGGTCTCCTCTTGCCAGGATTCCAGAGGCCGATGGTGAGAGTGGGTTGATCCTTGACTGTTCATCTCATCCTTTCCCCAGGAGCCACTGCGGGCCAGGAATGGGTCCCAGTGTGTGGTAGCCCCATGCAGGGTTCCCAGCTTCCTATCCCTTCAGCCCAACATGTATGTCTTCTCTCTTCTATCTTCTCTCAATATCTTCCCTCTGAAGAACTGCTAGAAGTGTGCCAGTCTTCCCAATGTCCTGGTCCCTCAGTGGCAAATATTCCTCCTGGCTGCCTCTAGTCAGCTGTCTTGCCTCCTTCCTCCAAAGTCTCAACTTTCTGTAGCACTAACACAAAAATCCAAAGTCCAGAGTCTCTTCTGAATCAGATATGGGGAAGGAGATTCAAGGCACAATTCATCTGAAAGCAAATTATTCTCAACCTATGAACCTGTGAAATTAATAAGTTATCTACTTTCAAAATTCGGTGATGGGATAGGCATAATATAGACATTCCCATTCTAAAATGGAGAAATAGGCCAGAAGAAAGATGTAACTATTCTCGAGTAAGTTCAAAACCCAACAAGGTGAATAACATTAAATTTAAATCTCTACAATAATTTTTATTGACTTTATTTCCTGCATCCTGGACAAACTGGAGTGGGTGTTGGACCCCCAAAACTTAAGCAGCCTCACTGTTATAATTTTGCTGGGCTCAGCCCACCAAGCAGCTCTCATGGGTTGGACTCTCATATCTGTAGCTTTCCCAGGCTGCAGGTAGGGTGTTCCTGATTCCTCAGTTTTTAATGGGCATTGCCCTAGTAGTGTGGGGCTCTCTGTGGTGGTTCTATACCCACGGTCCTCTGTGTATTGCTCTAGTGGAAACTATCTGTGGCAACTACTCCCCTGTGACAAGTTTTTGCCTGAAGCTTGAAGCTGTCTCCTACATTCTTTAAAATCCAGGTGGAGAAAGCCATGCTAACACTGCTCTTGCACTCCATGAGCCTACAGAGTTAGCGCCACATGGAAGTCCCCAAGGTTTACCACTTTTACCCTTTAGAGCAGTGGCTAGAGTTGTACCAGAGCTGGCTTAAGCCCTAGCTGGAGTGGCTGAGGAGCACTACCCTGGAGTTTGGGAAGCAGACAGTTGATAGTGAATGGTAAAGTCTTCAGCCTTTCTGGAAACCTTTCCCTCAACATTCTAACTTGCCTTGAAGATCTCTGAAATGACTTTAGGGACATTCTCTCATTGTCTTGATGAATAGAACCTACACTGATCTCTTTAATAAAGAGATGCTTGGCCACACATTTAGTATTCTCTTGAATATGCGGTTTTTTTTTCTTTACATGGCCAAAGCGAGTTTTCCAAATCTTCTCATTCTACTTGCATTTTAATTATAAATTTCATCTTTAAATCATTTCTCTCTTCTCTCATTTCACTATAAGCAGCCAAAAGAACCTATGCAGCACCTTGAATGCTTTGCTGCTTAGATGTTTCTTCTGCCAGAGATCCTTGTTTACAGCTCATAAGTTTTGCCTTTCATAATGCTGTAGGGCATGAACACAATTCAGCCAAGCATTTTACAACCGTATAACAGGAATGGTATTCACTCCAGTGTTCAGTACATTATTCTTCAGTTCCACATGAAACCTCATTACAATAGCCTTTACTGCCCACATTTCTACCAACATTCCAATCTTGATCACTTAAGTAATCTCTAAGAATTCCCATGCTTTCCCTACGTTTTTTCTCTTCTTCTGACCCATCATCAGAATCACCGTTAACTCTATATTCATGGCAATCAAGGCTTTTTCTAGCCTGATCCTCCAAATTCATCCAGCCTCTACCCATTACCCAGCTCCAGAGCCACTTCCACATTTTAAGGTATTTATTATAGATATTGCTCATAGCCCACTTCTTGCTACCAGCTTTCTGCTGCAGTCCATTTTATGTTGCTATAAGAGAATACATCACACTGGGTGATTTTTAAAGAACATAGATTCATTTTTCACACTTCTGGAGGCTGGGAAGTCCAAGGCTGAAGGAACTGCATCTTGTGAGGTCCTTCTTGCTGTGGCTTCCAATGGTGGAAGGCAGAAGAGCAAGAGAACATACATGAGAGATGGGAAGGAAGTGAAGGGGGCTGAACCCACTCTTATTAAAAACTCATTCCGGTCATAAGAAACCCACTCCCAAAAGAATAGCATTAATCAATTCATGAGGGCAAAGCTATCATAACTTAATCATCTCTTAAAGATATCATCTGTCAACATTGTCATATTGAGGATTAAGCTTTCAACACATAAATTTTGGAGGACATATTCAAACCATACCAGTTTTCTTTCAGAGGAAAGTGAAGAAGAGAAATAATATACATATTTCTTTGAGTGCCAGGCTGACTTCAGAGCAAATCTTAAAATAGCCCAAGATTGATTTTCTACAATCGTCTCTCACCTAGATTGTAGGTACCTAGCATACATGACATGACTCCCCAATCTTATTTAAGTAACAAAACACTGAATCAGTCCCAAAATTTTTTAATGATGAATTCATATTTGCCTTCAGAATTCTCAACATAATGATACTGATAATGCTTTCATTTGGCAGACTATTAAACTGAATCTCAGAAAGGAGTAATATGACCAAACAGTAGTAATGTTTGTATTGAAAATACATCACAAGGAATAAGAAAATGTGAACCAAGTAGAAGATCACCAAACATCAATGATGATATTGAATAAACAGATCCAAGTGGGTTAACCCTTTGGGGGTAGACCACTAGTCTTATATATGAGAGAGAACACTCTGTGATTCATTAGTTGTTCTCTTCAAGGAATAGTTAAATCCATCAGTAACAGCAATATTACCTAGTTTTTTAATATTCTCTCTAGAATTATGGGCTATATACAAGAGAAATAGTTCATTTAAATTAGTATGGCTAAAAATATAATGAATCAATATGATGTTATCATCTAAATAGTAAGGTTTTCTTGCTATAAAGCATGTGAAATGTCTAGCATGGAGCCCAACAGAGAATATATGTTCAATATATGTTTGTTGCTTTTTACACTTGCCTTTCATTCAAAGAATCTAATTCAAGATATGATATTTTTTCTGTAGAGCTTGAATAAGAAAATATTGCATAGGATGTTTCTGAAATCTTTCTGTCCAAGAAAAATTTTATGGCGGTTAAAAGTAATAATAAAATACATGTGCATTTATTAAGTATCCATTTATAAAAGAGATGGGCTTCCTGACCATCTGGTGTCTACAGCAGCAGCCAAACCGTACTGAAGTTACTTGAGAGGGTCACAGAGAGTTCAGGTATTCAGAGAGTCAACATTCAAGCCATATGCACAGGGTTGGTTATTTTCAGCCAAGTCTTTATAGAAGATCTTAGCTTATAGCTGCAGATAAGAAGGAACTTTATTTTAAGAAGATTAAGGTTAGAGTTATTTGTTCATGATGATTGTCAGGATAGCAAAAACTGTCTCCCAGAGCCTGGTAGATAAATCAGGAAACTTAGATCAAAAGAGCTTACAGCCAGACTGGCAACTTCAGAGACTGCCAGTATAAATCCAATGATTGTTGGGGAAAAATTAAATGGTTCAAAATATTGGGAGGACCCATTTGAAATGGCAGTCAGCTTAGCACTGGTTACTAATAAGCAGATATTAATACATGACAACTCTATTCTGTGAATAGATGCAAATTTCATTACTCTGCCATGACGAGCCTTAAATGATGTAGGCAATCTCCTTGGGACCCTTCCAGTATCCAAAAGTGACACCAACAGATCTGGATCAAGCTAACAGAAGACTCTGGAAACATATGCGCACTCCAGGGATGGGGGCAGGGTATTTAGGACCCAGGCTGCCTCTTCTAAATCCAAGAGTTCTTCTCTCCACAGGAGGAAGAAGGTTTTTTCAGTCATTGATTTATTGATTCATGCATTTCATATAAATACTTTTTGGGTACTTGCTTTGTGACAGGCATGGTTCTTTGTACTGTGGAAACTAATAAGTAATACAAGTATATTATTTGCCCTTATGACTGTAATAATAACTGTGATAACTGATGTGAAGGGAAAACACAATGAACCCTGGTTTCATAACTGTTCAAAAGTTTTCAGTCCCAGATGAAGAGCCTTACTTAAAATACTCAAGGTTCATGTTATTTATCATGAATCAGAAAATTTAGAATGTTAGATTTAAAGATGTTAGAGCTCATCTAACCAAACAGAATTTTGTCAATCTTAGGCTAAAGAATTTAAATAAATAGTCAACAACTTTTCTTTTAATTTTAGTTGGTATTTTTATTTCATTGATATTTTATTTCATTGGTATTTTATTTCATTGATAGAATAAGTTTGGCAATTATAATACACAACTCTAGGAAGCAAATATTTCAAATGTTGGCAATCAGCTTCTACACATTTTTAAACCATGTAACATAGATTCATGCATGCATATTTGTATGCAATATTCAAGCAAATAACTATACAGAAAACTTTACCTCAAAATCTCTGTAAGGTATTGAATATGTGAGTTAAAATTAAATCAACAAAATTGTATAATTTTCTGTGGTTATTGAAACATTTTGAAAACTATTAAGATCTATGTATATTGTTCAAATGTTATGAATACTCAGTTGTTCTATTTAAAATATACTATTAGGATAACTCGTAAATAGATATGTCTTTGAATAAGTTTGCTCAATTAGAGTGAAAAGAAAAGAGAGAGGGAGATCAAAGCATGAAAAACTTTGAAAATATTTTGCCATGCTATTTATTTAGTTAATTAGTTATTTTAAAATCTAATTGGAAATTCATTGACTCAGTATTGAGCAAATGTTTATGAAGTGCTAAGTGTTCCAAGATTTAAGAACTTTTTTTATTAACTTTATTTTAAAATTATTTTT
The DNA here is from genome assembly GCF_000001405.40 of Homo sapiens. Taxonomy (NCBI): domain Eukaryota; kingdom Metazoa; phylum Chordata; class Mammalia; order Primates; family Hominidae; genus Homo; species Homo sapiens. The sequence goes on along the minus strand of NC_000003.12, from coordinate 106,279,847 downwards.
AATTAATATATAATAATTGTGTATATGTATGGGGTACATAGTTTTGATACATATAACTTATAATTATCAGATCAGGGTAATTAGTATATCCATCATCTCAAACATATATTGTTTCTTTGTGCTGAGGACATTTAATATACTTTAAGCAATTTGAAACTGTAGCCTATATTACTGTTAACTGTAGTCATTCTAGATTACTGTAGAACACTAGACCTTCCACGAGATCAATTTTTTTTAGCTTTCACGTATGAGTGAGAACATGTGGTGTTCAACTTTGTTTCTTGCTTATTTTACTTAACATAATGTCCTTCAGTGCCATCCATGTTGCCATGAATGACAGGACTTTGTTCTTTTTTTTATTTGCCAGGCTATTTATAAATGTATCATCATTGTTAGTGTTAACCTATTGTTGGCAAACATTCTTGTCAAATTAAGTAAAACCAATAAATATAATTAGAAAATTCTTTTTGGCTAGTGTTATTTTATCCCTAATCTGATAATGTTTTAATCTTTGCCTAAATGATTCAAAACCTTTGCATTTAATGAAGATATATTAGGTTCCAAATATTGATGGTTGATTTGTCTGAATGAGGAACTATAAATATATGTGAATATCTCTGGGAACAGCAAGTTGATTGGAGAAAGCAAGACAACCTATTGAAACTAGTGTCAGGGGGTAGCTCACCTCTTTTTCCAAATTGCTTAAGGCTCATCTATTCAGTTTCCAAGCAGGGAATGCTTTCTGAAACTACTGTATGCTTTAAAACAAACAAACAACAAACTAAAAGATCTGCTCAAAGGGAGAAAAATTGATATTTTTCTTTCTTTAAGTCTTTAGTAACCTTAGGTTCTATTATGTTTTTATTTTTGTTTTGTTTTTAGAATTAATCATAGAGAGAAATTTGAGTTGAAATATCTAACAGATACATATTGAAATTAAGGTAATTATACTTTATTTTTCCTAAGATAGTGCACATACATATAAACATATTGGAAATATTAAATAGCCCTAGCTCTGCTCTGAACTCCTCTATAGCCTTTTCAAGAAAACCAATTCTATCAGGTCAACCTGATGGATGACCTCCCCCATGATTGTCTTCCTCCCTCTATTCTCCACCTAGAGAACATAAACAGGGAGCTTCACATGATCCTTCCCAGTTACAGTAATTTTGCATAGGGGAAGATTACTGGCTTCCAAACAAAGCAGTCTCCTTTAACCTGTTTAAGGATTTATCTAGTGATGTCACAAATATTTGTCAAAGTTCTTGATCTCCTGACCATCCTGGCATTTATTGTAAAGTCCTCCCAACTTCTACAGAATACAACAGGCTATGACATATATGTTCCTAATTTCTGGCTAGGCCCTTAATTACTGGATCCTCCTGTCCTTTGCAATTGCTCCAATGTTGCCTAAATTTCCTGCCACTGCCGTTGCTGTTGTTTACGTAATTATGCCCTCAATTTACCTCTCAGTTCTACATTTATTGTCTTTTCCTCAGTAACTAATTTGGCTAGTCTCTTAGAGCCATATGTCTTTGTTTTGGCAGGAAGACCACTGATGGATTTGAGCAGTAACAGACCAGCTTCCGCTGCTTCTTGCTAGGGTGTTTTGTGATGGTTGTTCTTCCACTCCTGCTCCCATCCATTTTTGCAACCCTCTCCTCACCCCCACCAGCATACTGCTATACCTTTAGCATTATCCAGGCCCTCATGACTTCTGGATTCTGACTAGAGTTGACCAATAGGAGGCACTCATAAGAGATTGGTAAATGTCCTCAAAAGTTCAATAAGCGAGAGGTTGAAAAATGTCTTTCTCTGATTCCTCTGCCTCAGCTCTTTGGTTCTGCCTGAAACTACAACCCTTTAACACTGGAATTCCTCTTAGGATGCTGACCTCCCATGGCTCTGACTCTCAGTAGGTCCTGGTAAATTATTTTCTTCACATTTCCTCCTTGAGTGATAATAGTTTCCTTTTGTTTTGTTAGTTCCTGGGTACTTCATATCTCTTTTTGTTTCCCTTAATCCTGCCCAGACCTCTGTAAACTGTCATTTTATTAAATTATCTTCAAGGGTACCTTCTGTTTCCTGTTGACATTTTGACTAAAAGTAGTCCACAAGGCCCTTATTGCCATAAACTTCTTTATTATTTTCACAAAACAAATACATTAGCTTCTAGTACTTAGAATAGAAAGCAAACACTAATGTACTAATAGAACATGCTCATCAAAAATGAAAGATAATTGTCTATATTTCAGAGATTAAAAACCTGATGACATTTCTATGAAAGTGGCAATAAAAGGAGGAATCAAAATGGAGAAGTACAAAGACAGTAAGCTGAAAACAATCCCTTCTGTATTCTATGGCTCCCTGAGCATCATTTATTTTTCTATTATAGGAGTGACAAATGGTATTGAAACGTGTTGGCTTTCATGGCCCTTCCCACCACTAGATGGTGAGTTTCTAAACCACAGAAACCATATCTTATCCTTCATCTTATTCTTTGGGTGTAAAATACAATTCAACTCATAATTAGTCTAATAAATGTGTATTGTGTGAGTGAATGAATGAGCAATAGTGATTAAGAACCTTAAAAGGATATGAAAATGCATGTTCAAAGCAGCATGCTTCAGGATAACCAAAAAGTGGAAACAGCCCGACTGTTCATCAACAGATGAATAGACAAACAAATTGTGGTATACGCTTGCAATAGAAGAGTATTCAACCATAAAAAGTAATAAAATACTCATACAGGCTACAACATAGATGAACTTCAAAAACATTACGCTAAGTGAAAAAAAAAATGCCAGACACAAAGGTCAACATATTATATGACTCTATTTATCAGAAACATCCAGAATATGTAAATGTATAGAGATGGAACAGAAATCAGTGGTTGCCAAGGACTGAAGGAAGGAAAGCCTAGGGGAACTTCCTAAAGGGCATGGGGTTTCCGTTTTGGGTAACACGAATATTTTGGCTTTAAGTAAGGCTTATGGAACATTGTGAATGTACTAAATGCCACTGCATTGTTCACTTTAAAATGGTTAATTTTATATTATGTGAATTTCATTTCAATTAAGGAGAAAATAAACTAAGAAAGAATTTTTATTATGAGTAGAATCTGGAGTCTCTTCCTGCCCATGAAAAAAAATGAAAGGCAATGCTTGCTTCAACCCTGACTCTCTGGAGCACCTGTGGGCTCCCTATGAATACAGAGACCATAGTCCGACAATCCTTTAATGCTAACACTACTGTATGTATCTGTGTTCCCCTTCCTTTATTCTATCTACTAAGGAATCTTAGTTTTTGACTTGCAAATTCTGAAATGTCACTAAAGTTGATTTCCTAATATATCTTTCTTCTATTTGTATTCAATGAATCTTCAGAGTACAATGGATGTGCTCACTTTTCCCTTTTAAGGTCCACTGTAAATCTAGTCCTTCCTGAGTAGTTATTATTTGGCTTGCTAAGAGCAGACCCATAACTGCTTGTGGAAAATTTATTATGGAGATTGCCTGCCAAACCTAGACCTTTTGACAAAACCATGCAAATGTTCATGCTTCAAAACAAGCCACATCCTTTATGTTTCTGATTATTTAAGAATAAACAGGAATCCTTTACTACTTTATAGAAAAATGAGGTTAAAAAATCTTATATGCATTATTCCACAGGAGCTTTCTGTAACTTGATTAAAGCATTCATAAAAAGGCAATGTCTATAATTTTCTTTTTTTAACTGTTTATTCTTTTGTTAGATTTTTCCTTTTTATAAATTAAGACTCATTGGTAAGCATTGTGCTTTTTTTCTCATCTTGGGCCCTCAACTTTCTTGAGTGAAAATCGTTGTCTTCTTTGACATAACCATACAAGAGAAGATGATATAGTTTGGCTGTGTCCCCACCCAAATCTCACCTTGAATTGTAATAATCCCCATGTGTCAAGGGCAGGACAAGATAGAGGAAATTAAATTATGGGGGTGGTTTTCCCCATGCGGTTCTCAGAAGATAGTAGTGGCGAGTGGTAGTGGGCGAGTTCTCAGAAGATCTGATGGTTTCATAACTGTCTGACATTGCGTTGTTGGCACTCATTCTCTTTCCTTTTGCCCTGTGAAGAGGTGCCTTCAGCCATGATTGTAATTTCCCTAGGCCTCGCCAGCCATGTGGAACTATGAGTCAATTAAACCTCTTTTGTTTATAACTTATCCAGTCTCAGGTATTTCTTCATAGCTACATGAGAATGGACTATTACAGAAGGTATAGTTTACTCAGCGCTTTTAACCGTCTTCTATTTGCAAAGTCCTTGCCATTTTGGGGACCAAAATGAATAAGTCTTGCTTGTACCCTCAAGAAACTCACAGATTAGTAAAAGAAGCAGACAAGTAAATGAATGTACATTATGGTGGGCTCTATGTAGAGGCTCCAATAGAGGCAAGAACAGGATACTGCACAAATGTCTAACTATGGCGGCCTAGAGAGAGGAAAGTGGTTACGAAGTTTATGAATAGGAGAAAGAAAGGCGGTTACAAGACAGAAAAAGGTGGTTACAAAGTTTATGGCTAGGAGAGAAAGTAAAAAATGTTTCAAAATGGTGATGATGTTTAATTGACCCCTGAATTCTGAATAGTTTTGGGGGAACATAAGAAGGAAAAAAAGAATTCTAAACTTAAGGAACAGCATGCACAGAAATGCAATGGCGTGACAGAGCATGTCATGTTCTAGGAGCTGGACATAGTTCTGTTATATTAAAGCATAAAGTGACTGGAAGAGTGGTAAATAATAAAGCAGAAAGAAACGATGAAAGATTGGTCAAAAAGTTCAGATACCATAACAAAGAGTTTGGATCATGTAACTAGGCAAAGGAGAGCCAGCAGATGATTTTAAGCCTGGAAGTAAATGATTAGTTTTGTTTAGAAAAGAAATAGTCTCACAGAAAAGTGAAGAACAGATGAAGGGAAATGAATGCAGGCCTTTTGACAAACAAGGAGGCTTTTACAATGGTGCAGGTGAGTCATGATGAAGGCTGAACCTAAGGCAGTAGTTGTGGGAACAGATAAGAGAAAATCAAATAATGAATATACAGATATTGACAAATGATAACTGATTGGAAATGAAAAACAAGTCTGGACCAGCAACTTGAGAGTAGAGAACTGTGAGCTATTGAAGAGACTATGCCTAGAAATGAAAAAAAAAAAAAGCCAGGGAAAAAAACCCCAAAATCTAAGCATGTAGTCCAACCTAGATATCATTCCGAAAGGGCACAACAGAGAGGATGAATCCAGGTACAAGGATGCTGTGTCAATGGTGTGGGGTCCAGAATGGAGGCACAATTCAGAGAGCTCCCCTGAGCCACTGAAGTATTACCTCTGGCTCTTCTTAAGCCTAGTTAACAGGTGGAGACAGAGACAGAATTTGCTCCCAAAGATCTTATGCAGTAGGTTTGGGATTTTTTTTCTAATGAAATAATGGTAAAGTAACAAAAGAACAGAATTAGAAAAGAAGACAATGAAATATAAAATACTAGAGAATATTTACATATAAGTGACTATTATTTTGCATCCTCTTGAGAAGCAGATAGCAATTTGGGATTCAACATACAAGACATTTGTTAAGGGAAATGCCTTTGGAAGAGAAAGGGGGAAAGCAGGATTGAGCAGAAAGAGTTTCAGACTAGAGCTCTGTTTTAAGAAACTTTGGCCAAATGGATAGGGATTCCCTGACACAAAGCATCTTGCTAGAAGAATGGGTTGCATTCAGCACAAGATCGGGGGTTAGGGTGAGGGTATGAGGGAGGCTGTCAGCTAACTATACACCTCACAGCGCGAAATATGAACGGCCACAATGACATACTAGGGAATCAAAGATTTGTAGTGCAAGTACTTAGATCTTTTCCAAACATCCATCTGTAAAGGTATACCTTACTATTGTTTTTTATAAAGATTTTCTATACATAAGGCTCTCTTAAGAACTGAAATGCATAAACTGTTTTAACTGTAAGCACAAACTCGGTAGTAATAAAAGTGAACCATCCGCTATTTTTTTAAGTGAGAAATATGAGGGGAGATCCAAAAGAAAGTGACACATTTGAAAATTTAGGGAGAAAAAGAGTTTTGTGGAGAAAGACGTATTCATCTAATATGGGATTTGAAATTCTGAAGTGTATTTGATAAGTAATTTTTTTTACCCTTTGAACACACAGTATGTCAGATGATATTGCTAATTCACAATATATATTTTTACTTCGGTGACATCATCTATTTTTATTTTATTCTGTTGCTAGTAAAAAACCTGACTAGTAAATTTTGTTATATGTTATTCTAAATAGAAATAAAACAATTTTATCTTCTTCACACCAGATGTCCAAGTCACAGAGCACTCATTTATAAGGGCTATGTTGCCAAAAATAATTTTGGAGAGAGCTTTCTGTATCCCTCTCCTTTAAATTCATAGTGTATTAGCATATTACCATATGTAGGTAGTCATGAAATTGTGGCCAGTCAGATTTCCTTTTAAGAGAAACTGCGACAACAAAGGCAGTAGACAGACTCCAGCTACTGCAACTTCAGATCCATTAAGGCCTTGATACCAAAGCCCACACATCCTCCAGGGCTATGCTCAGCCTGTGATTGGACACAGCAAGAGTACTAGAGCCAGACTATTACCCGCCATGCAGGACTCCTCTGACTGACAGCTTTGTTCCAGGGTCTCCGCATTGTCTGGACGACACTTTCTCTGAAGCTCTTCTACCCAATCCTCCTTCCTTCCATCTCACCTTTCATGGGTGTCGTAACTCCACCATGATAGAAAGGCTCTTCCTGCATTTTCCTGCTACCATCCCCTTTAGACTTCATGGGGTTTTTTTTTTTTAAATACGAAAATTATCTCTTGTACATCTAATCCCATCTTGACATCTGCTTCTTAAAAGCCTTGTGCTAACAGAGTATTTTAAAATATTTGAGTCTGGCAAGTACCTATAGTTAAGAAAATCTGTCCTTATAGTTAAGTAAAATTAAGTATTGCTATTAAGTACTATGTAAGTAGCAATAGTTATTTACTTAATAGTAATAATTTTACTTAACTATAAGGAGTGAATCCTTCAGTCCTGAAATTTAAATTTGTCCTTATAGTTAATGGTAATAATTAATTTTACTTAACTTAGTGAAATGTAAATTTTCCTGACTACAGAACAGTTTTCTTACAGTACAATTGACATATCATAGAACTAGTAGAACGTATTAAGTTTATTATTCTAATTTACTTAACCCCCTCTTAAGCTCAATTTTCTGGACTATAATCAATGTCTGTTTCCTGGCTTATGTCTTCTTTATCTCTTAATAGAGCTCTCCAATTAAATTTTAGACATCCTCTACACCCTGCTGTTTACTGCACTTAGTGATAATAGAATTATGAAGTAATTTCTAGGTGCTAGAAAAACTCAAATTCAATTTAACTGATTCCTGTTATCTAAGAATAGTATACCTTATTGCCATAAAATAGATACTACTTTTACAGTTCAGTCTTTCAGGGGTTTTTTGGACACAGTAAGTGTGCAATCTCTAAAAGTCTTACAAATTTGCTTTGGCCAAATTGAACACATTGTGTTTCTATACATAGATACTGTCCTCAAGCTATGCACTAGTTGCAAGTTTTCATTTTTATATTGGATGTATTGATCTGTCTTGGACCAGCATGCCGACTGGATATAACCAAATATTGAATTCCTAAAAGCATATATGTGAGTTATTCACTTATTCAACAGCAAGACGTTAAGCAAATAAAACATGACTGTAATATCACCCAGTATTGTTTGGACAATATCTGTTGATCCTATCTATTTCATAGCAACTGACATGGAAGGTATTTGCACTGGACACTCAGATGCGCCATGCAGATTTCTCTTCAAGACTCAAGGATTCATTCCTTCGTTGCTCGGAGTGCAGTCAGCGAACAGCTCCCAGCCACCAGTCTGATTTACAATTGTCTTGGCTAAAGAGTCACCTGAGGTCATGTCCCCTTCATTGGGTAGCCCATTTCTAATGACTGACTAACAAAGGGGTATAAATTCCTGGCTCCCTCACCCAACTTGTGATATTCACAAGTGTTATTCTAAATTTAAAACTCTGTGAGATTGACTAAGGTTTTGAGACTGCATGCAGCCTAATTACTCCCTCAGTCTGAGACTACTTCCTTCCCTTCCCTCGTCTTCCTCTTTCCTTCCCTTTCTTCCTCTTCTCTCCCTTCCCTTATGACTCTGAATGCACTTGCTAATAAAACAGCATGCTAATTTTCATCTCGGCCTGGTTGCAAGGGTCTCTCCAACCCCTATCCTATAAGAGTTGACCCTTGACGTGGTTAAAGAAAACAGACATAATGGTGGAATTTTGAAGCTGAATTATGTACCACCCTACTAACAGTGAGGATCCCATCAGTATAGTAGGTGAAGCTCAGATAGTACTTGGCATAGGTAGCCAAGATAGCCATATGATTATTCAAGTTTTCATCAGGGGTAAACTGAGATGGTAAACCAGTGGACACAAATTCACTAGCTTGTGTAATATGTCAAGCATTTGATTAAATACAGGATAAATGATAACCATAAAGATTGTCAAATTGGATGCCCCTTGCCAAGCTTAATTAACCTTTGGAAAATACAACAAAGGACTGAATGTGTGAAAGCTACAATTCTTTCTTTGTAGCATATAAAGAAGCTGTTATCTCCCATAAGTGGTGGGTAGAGAAAGCTGAGGATGAGACCCAAAACTTAAACATAAAAATAGCAGAACTCCCAAACTGTCAAACTTGTGAGCTAGGCTGGCCTGCGGTAATGGTTGTAAAAGAAGGGAACTTGAAGGCCGGGCTCAGTGGCTCACACCTGTAAGCCCAGCACTTTGGGAGGCCCAGGCAGGCAGATCACGAGGTCAGGAGATCGAGACCATCCTGGCTAACACGGTGAAACCCTGTCTCTACTAAAAACACAAAAAATTAGCCGAGCATGATGGCAGGCCCTTGTAGTCCCAGCTACTCAGGAGGCTGAGGCAGGAGAATGGTGTGAACCTGGGAGGTGGAGTAAGCTGAGATCTTGCCACTGCACTTCATCCTGGGCTACAGATCCAGACTCCATCTGAAAAAAAAAAAAAAAAAAAGAGAGGTCGGAACTTGATACACAGGATGGATTTATCTAGGCTACTGAACCCGAAAATCTGGTAAACCACATATTCCCTTGAAAGACAACAAAACACCCCTCCAGCCCCCACAGAATCTTCCTCAAGTCTCTGCCCCCAGGCCAATATAAATAGGCTGCTATCTGTCAGTTTGACTGGATTACTGAGTGCCCAGATATTTGGCTAAACATTATTTCTGGGTGAGTCTGTGCAGGTGTTTTGGATGAGATTAGTATTTGAGTAGGTAGACTGAGTAAAGCAGATTGCTCTCCCCAGTGTGATGGCATCATCCAATACACTGAGGGTCTGAATAGAACAAAAAGATGGAGGAAGAGAGAATTTGCTCTCTCTGTGCCTGATTGCTTGTGCTGGGACATTGGTCTTCTCCTACCCTCAGATTGGAACTGATGAATCAGTACTCCTGGCTCTCAGGCCTTTGGACTCAGACTGGAATTACACCATTGGTTCACCGGTTCTCGGGTCTTTGGACCTGGACATAAAGTGATGCTCTTTCTTTTCCTGGTCCTCAGACCTTAGGACTTGGGCTGGAACTACACCATTGGCTACTGGCATTTGTGGATTTCCAGCTTGCAGACAGCAGATTGTGGGACTTCTCAGCCATCATAATTATATTAATCAATTCCTTATAATATATCTCCATTGGTTCTGTTTCTCTGGAGGATCCTGACAAATAAAGTCTGATTTTGGAGGAAAGAAACCACAACTCCCATTGAGCTACAGGACTTAGCCTACGTACACCAACAGGAGCTGGGAAAGCATGCAAAGTGCTGGATTCCGTCCTCATGGAGCTTACATTCTTAATGGAGGAAGGCAGAAATGGAAAGTGGACATAAAAAATACATAAATTATATAGCAAGCCAGATGATAATTAGTATTATGGAACAAAGAACAGAAGAGGCAAGTGAATTGAAAAAGCAACAGAAGGGATTTCAATTTAAAACAAGGTAGTCAATTTCATTGAGGTGAAATTTAAACTGGGACTCCAAGGACCTGAAAGCATTAGCACTACATGAATATCTGGGTGGAGACACTCCTGTTATGTGGAAAAGACATCGCAAAACCACTAAGATGAGAGAATGCTGGCATGTTAGAGAAAAGTCAGGAAGACTGGGAAGGAATGGCCAATGAGACAGAAGAAAAGGCACTATCTTTAAAATACTCTATCACAAGCAATATTATTTCTACTCATTTGTACTGTTTCACAGTTTTCATGTTCTTAGTTGTTTAATAATCAGAAGAAGAATCACTAAATCCATAATGCAGGTAGGGAAATATTATTTATATTAATTTGTATATAATAAAGTGTGAAATTTATTTCCAACTTGACCTCATTAAGAAATCAATGAGGAATCCCTTAAATAGACATGGTAAAAGAAATTTTGTGTATAGTATGGTATGACCTACAACAACTTTATACTTGAAATATCAGGTTCAGCTGATCCTGTCTCATGCATTTCATGTTACTATTAATATTGTACTTTTAATAAATTAATGGCCATATTTTTCTAACCATCTCTAGTGCAGTCACAAAAATTTTTCACTCTGTGATTACTAATTTTTCACCCCATTAATAAATTTTACATTAAGCACAGGCCCTGTACAAATGATATTTAAACAGTTTGCTTCCACTCAGTGACTTCTCGAATCTTTTCCTTCCTGCATTGATCTATCTATCTCATTCTCTTCTTCAGTATGTGTTCTGCCTCACTGTGGCTAGTTCAATAACTTAATATTAAAATTGAAGAGAGTCTCAGTCCTCAAACTCAGTCGTGCAAGAAATATTCTAAAAATACTTTATTTGCATTTAGTATATTCAAATTCAACTTTCGGCTTCCATCTCATTGAACTTAGAGGGCATTTAATTTCAGTCCTAAAAGAGATCTTTCTCTCCCTGGTGGCTTGAGATTTACATGTTCTACCTTTTTCCCTTCTGCTGTCTTCCTTCTCTCCTCCTCCATCCCCGAAAATAGATCAGAATGTGAATTCCAATTTTCATCTACTAATACTGACATTGTTATGCTAATTGTCCAATTTCATAGGGATTTCTTCCAGTCCAACTTCTCTTTGGACATGGATCTTTGCTGAGGTAGGAATTCCTCTGCATGAACACATGAGCTAGGATTCTCTAGAGAAAGAAAAACTGTCGAGTATATTTAGAAAGAGATTTATTTAAAAATTCATTAAAAAGAGATTCAGAAAGAGATTTATTACAAAGGATTGGCCCACATGAGGTTGAAAAGTCCCATGATCTTCTGTCTGCAAGCTGGAGGTCCAGGAAAACCAGTAACATAGTTCAATCTAAGCCTGAAAGTCCAAGAACCAGGAGCACCATGTCCAAGGGCAGAAGATGGATGTCTCAGCTCAAGTAGACAGCATACTAGCCCTTCTTCCTCTGCCTTTTTGTTCTATTTGAGTCTTCAACTGTGTAGGTGATGCGACCAAAATTGATGAGGGCAATCTTCATGACTCACTTTATCAATGCAAATGCTAGTCTTCCTGATATTCCTTCACAAACACACTCAGAAATAATGTGTAACCAGCTCTCTGTGCATCTCAAAACAATCAAGTTGGTATATAAAATTAACCATCACAATGAGGTACCTGTATGCATTTCACAGAGCAATTTTCTCAGAGATCTTGTTACCTTCCTGGGACGTTGCCACAGAATACTATAAACCAAAATTCCCAAATAATTCAACTGTTTTCCAATGTACAGGAATCTCCTTATCCTCTGGCACTCACTTCCCCCATTCTCCAATTTATTCTTTCTCTCCTCCTCAGTTCATGTAGGCTTTCACTTTTAAAAAACATAGAAAGTGTCTACCTTTTTTCAAGCAGTTTCTGCTTAATGTCTGTAAACAGTATCTGAGTAAAGAGACAAAATAGGTTCTAGTTTGCTTCTTTAAATGAGATATGGAAAAATAAAATAAAATACAGCATAAAACAACATTTCGAAAAGTATCCTGCCACAACTGATGTTTTGTTTCATTGAAATATTGACTTTTATATTGAATCAAACTGAAAATAAATTCACTCTCTTCAGAAAAAAACAAACAATATTGTACCATCCTAACTAACAATACTAAATCTCTTCTGTCCTGAGGATTTTTACTGCATAAGTCTTTTCGTACTTGATTTTCTACCTGACAGGAGAGATAGGGTTTGCTGGAATTATCCTTTATTCAGTCTTTGCACTACTTAATGGAAAATATTCCTCCAAAACAGGCCCATCTCTACTCTTCTTAAGAGTTCTTCCTAACCATGTATTTCCTTAATTAATAAAAATCCAAGAAATGTGAGCCTGCTTGACTGCTTTATGTATTTAAGTATTTATTTCTTTATTTTAATTTCCATAATTGCTAAATAATATATAAATATGCCACAGTAGATAAAAAACCTTTCAAGATCTACATCATAATCAACATGCTTTCTCATTAATTTAACAAGAATATTCTTTTTATCCTCTTTTCCATATTGTCAGTTTTATTATTGACTGCAATAAAATAGAACTTACATTGAGCTACTGATGATTATTAGTTGAGCATAGTTTTTCATCAAAAAATTATAAATGTGATGTCAGTCATATTTGTGTAGCAAAAATTTAACTGAATATACATAAAATAACACAGTTTGCTTCTTACTTTCCTAACCAGTTCTTAACTTCATTCTAGAAAGAAAATATAATTTCTAAATATATTTGACCCAATAAAACTACACTGGTTTTCAGGACGACATGGTATTTAAGAAGTAAAAATATTTATAACATTAAAAATAAATAAGCATTCAAATAAGTTACTTTATTATTAGGGAATCTTTTGGTATGTGATAATTAGGTTTCTTTATAAACGAAAGTAAACCAACAGGGTTGTATCTAAAAATATAGTATTTCAATTCAGTTATCTAATAGACTTGAATAGACTTTTGAATATATGTTACTTAAGCAATTTAAGGATCTAAACATACACCTATACTTTCTTTGCAACTTAATTCTCATATACTGATTCTCCGTAATTAAATAATCTGATTCATGACTGATTTTCTACATTGAAAAATAAGTGAACAAATAAAATCACCATCTGGATTTTTTTTAATGTGTCTTAAGTACATTGCATTTAAAAATTTTATTTAAAAAATGGGTTGCTCTATATTCATGTAATTTGATGCAAGAAGTAGCCAGAAAAAAATGTATAGGTGAAGAGAAAAAGTGTTTAAAAGCACGCATACATAAAAATCTACAGATGATGTGAACAACTTGATGAATTTTCACATGATGAATGCACCAGTATAACAAAAAACTAGATTAAGCTGCAGGACTTTTCTATTACCAGTGTCCTAGAACTCCCCTGTGTACTCTCTCCCAGAGCCTCCTTGGGAGCATTTCTTTAAAGAATCCTCATCTCAAGGTCTGCTTCTGGGAAATCCAACTTAAGACAGTGAGGATTAAGTTGGATTTTTTCTTTTACTTTACTTTTCCATTCCCCAATACCTCCAAAAGCCATCTTTGAGAGAAGAGGAGGAAGTCAAAGAGGTTAAGCTTTACCCTAAATAATTGTAATCAGAAGTTGTTTTTTGAATATACTAAATGATTAAACTGAAAAGAGATGACTAGAACTGGAAAATATTAAAAGAACAATGGGCACGTGTACATTGTCACAGCTATCCAAGGTGTAGAGGGACTATCAGAAAAGTCAAAGCATGTATAGAGAAATAAAGCCACTACGAATTTCCTGCATATCTGATGCTATCTGAGCTCATCAGATAACCCCTCCAGAGACACTCTATAATAGAGTGTGGAGTTCAGTGACTGGCACATAGCCATGCCCATTGAAGGGCAGTTATTCAATGCTGCCTAGGACTGTGAACCCCATGGAAGTAATTTAACTTCTATTGGCCTTTGAGTCTCCAACTATATAAATAAAGGGAGAAAATGCTGAAAAAAACGCTGAATTGCTGTAGTTTTCATATCAATAGCAACCTAATTGTAACTGGTTCCAAGAATTTCCACTTTCACATCAGAAAAGGCAAATGGTTATTCTTATTAATAACCAGCACAACATAGGTTCGGCCCTAGAGAGCTGTGATAAAGTCCCTGTGACTGGCTTCCGGAAGGCAGAGAAAGGGCTCAAGTTCCCCTGTGGTCATCAGCTGCCTAGGACTGCCAGGGTAATCTGTGAGGAGGTAAATCAGTCCCTTGCTGGAAGAGTGTGCCCAGATGTCCCTTTAATCATAAGCTAAATTTCCTATCCTTTGAAAAAGATCTGCATATGGTCAGCTGTAGACTAATAGTTGGAGAGGGCTGCTTTAAAAATCTGATCATCTAAGATGCTGCAGTGAAAAGGGTTAGGTAAAAAGAGACTAGAGCTAATGAATCATGCTAGTGAGATTGTTCTACAGTCCAGTATTCAATCTCAACATTGTCAAAAATTATGGGATGGTAAAACCCACCTCAACAGAAATAAGTTCAAAGCTCCTTTGCTTAATATTCAAGATCATTCATGATCTGGCTTGTCATTCTCCTCCAAAGGCATTTCCCACCAATTCTGTTGGCTATTGGGTCACAAAATATTAGTCTGCTATTCCCTCAAGAGAACTCCTGTAATTTTCACCTGCTATTCTTTATTATGAACTTTTTATCTACTTCATATTCCAAAATTCCCATGTTTTCTTTTAAGAGTCAGACTCAATAATCAAGTGGATTGGATCATGAGCTTTTTAAAAATGGAGCTATAAAAGACAGTTTGTGTAATAAGTGGGGAATTTGATTATGGCCTGAATATTAGATGAAGTAGGGAAGTATTGCTGATGATATTATGGTTATGTGAGAGAAGTTCTTACTTTTAGTAACTGCACATGAATTAAGAGAGAATGGTTGATGTCTGTAACTTATGGGTCAGAAAAAAGTACAGAGGGAAGATAAAGCAAATATAGAATGTTAAAAATTGTTGACTCTAAATGGTAACTACTCAGGTGTTCATCGAATTAATTTTTTTCAACTTTATGTTTTAAAATTTTTGTAATGAAAATTTGGGGTGGGCTAAACAAAGTAAGTCCCTCATATTATACTAAACCAAATATAAGTAATACGTTGACTTCTTTAGATTTACCTCAAATGTCATCACCTCAGTGAAGCCTGTCTTGAACTCTGCATTTGGAGGACCACATCTTACCCAAGCCCTAGTACCTGTTGCAGTGTAGGGCATTTTTGTTGACATATATGCAACAGAATAATTTGTCAACATTTTTTTTTTGTTTGAGTCTCACTATTTTTTCCTCTCTCACTGCCTAGAGATAAGCAGGACTTAGGGCATTTTCGTCCAAAATGCCAAACTTTGGGAAAGTGCCTTGTTGAACTGTACAGTCATATAAGTGTATTCAGTCAAATTACTGGTACAGAAAATAACTTCTGTTAGAGTTTGGAATACCCCAATACTGGAAACTTGGGTAATGACAGATGGTTTTATGAAAAAAGTGGTAAACAAGAAGAGTATTGAGAAGTGACATACAATTTGGATTGGGAGAAGGTATTCCTGGTAGCGTAAATGGTTTGGATACCGTGGAAGACAGAATGGCCAAAGTCTGTATGAAAACAAATATAATTTATTTATTCATTCAGCAACTATATACTGTTACTCATTTATTCATTCATTGGTACTCATTTATTCATTCAGCAACTATATATTGGTATATATTGAATAAAGCAATGTGCTAGGGACTGAAAATATAATGGTAAGCAAAATAAACATTGCCTGATGTTCCAGATTAGAGGTTGGCAAACTTCAGAGCTGTGGGCCAAATATAGCCTACTACTTATTTTTACAAATAAAGTTTTGATAAAACACAACCACACTCATTCATTTACATTTTGTGTATGGCTGCTTTTGGACTACAACAAGGTTGAGTAGTTGCAACAGAGTCTAAAGTACTGACTTCTTATCTTTTGAAGAAAAAAAAATGCTGACCCTTGCCCTAGAGCACACAACATTAAGAGGAGACAGATATTAGTTAAATAACTACAACTAAATTAAAAATGAAGCTTTGATAAGGGCCAGGAATGTGAAATATGTGGCACCATGGAAGCACATAATAAAGACATTTGACTTAATAGGAGCAATAACAGAAGATTCTTTAAATAATTTAAAATTAAGGTCAAAGCTAAAGGGAGCAGGAACTGATCCAATGAAACACAAAAAGAACAGTGCAAGCAGAGAGAATATCACATGCAGAGACCGTGCAGGAATACAGTAACTTTGAAGGAAGGAAAAAACTGCACTGCGGCTGTAGTTCAAAGGGTGAGGGAAACATGGTACAAGATGAGACTGAAGAGGAAGGAAAAGGCCAAACTACACAGGATTTAAAAGGCCAGGTTGGGAGATTGTCTTTAAACTTAGAGTAAAGGGAATCCCCTTATGTGTTTTAAACTGATGAACGATACGATCTGTTACACTCTGAAAACGTCACCCAAAGTTCATGTGGAGAAAAGATAGGAATGCTGCAATAGCATATATATATAGACTAGTTATGCAACTTTGTTAGCTCTCTATGTGTCAATTCAGCCAGCCTGGAACTATATTTCTCATGTGGTTCTCGGCAGCATTGGCCACAAAAGATATTTTCCATGAGAAGACAGAAGTGCAGAAGCAGCCATATGTTTTAAGTTCTGAAGAGCAATAGCAGTATGGCAACTCATACTCATTGTGATTGATCTATCAGTTCACCTTATTGGCATGGGGCAGCACCAAGACCCACAGTGTCTTTGACTCCCATAAGATTTCCTCCTTTTGTTTCTCTTCTTCAGTAATTTCAAAATTTATTTTAGATTCAGGGGGTATGTGTGCAGGTTCATTACATGAGTATATTGTGTGATGCTGAGGTTTGGAGTATGGATGATTCCATTACCCAGGTAATGAGCATAGTACCCAATAGGTAGTTTTTCAACCCTTGCAGGCTTCATCTCGCCCCTCTCTAGTAGTCTCCAGTGCCTAATATTGTTTCCATCTTTATGACCATGTGTACCCAAGGCTTAGCTCCCACTTACAAGTGAGAACATGCAGTGTTTGGTTTACTGTTCCTGCTAATTCACTTAAGATAATGGCCTCCAACTTCATCCGTGTTGCTGCAAAAGACATGATTTCATTTTTTTATGGCTGTGCAGTATTCCATGATATATATGTACCACATTTTCTTCAATCCCCCATTGATGGACATCTAGATTTAGTCCATGTCTTTATGATTGTGAAGAGTGCTGTGATGAACATATGAGAGCATGTGTCTCTTTGGTACAATGATTTATTTTCCTTTGGGTATTTACCCAGTAACAGCATTCCTAGGTCAAATGGTAGTTCTGTTTTTAGTTCTTTAAGAAATCTTCAGACTGCTTTCCACAGTGGCTGAACTAATTTACGTTCCTGCCAACAGTGTATAAACATTCCCTTTTCCCTGCAGCCTCATCAGCATCTGTTATTTTTTGACTTTTTAGTAATAGCCATGATGACTGGTGTGAGATTGTATCTCAGTTGTGGTTTTGATCTGCATTTCTCTGATGATTAGGGATGTTGAGAATTTTTTCATGTTTGTTGATCATGTATATGTCATCTTTTAAGAAGTGTCTGTTTATGCTCTTTGCTCACCTTTTAATGGAATGATTTTTGCTTTTTGAATTGTTTAAGTTCCTTGTAGATTCTGAATATTAGACCTTTGACAGATGCATAGTTTGCAAATACTTCATTGCATTCTGTGGGTTGTCTGTTTACTCTGTTGGAAGTGTCTTTTGCTGTGCAGAAACTCTTCAGTTTAATTAGGTCCTGCTTGTCAATTTTTGGTTTGGTTGCAATTGTTTTTGAGGACATAGTCATCAATTATTTGACAAGGCCAATATCAGAAGGGTATTTCCTAGGTTTTTAGTATAATTATTATCATTTGAGATCTTAAATTTAAATCTTCAATCCATCCTGAGTTAATTAATGTGTATGGTGAAAAGTGGAATCCAGTTTTATTCTGCATATGACTAGCCTGCTATCCCAGTGCCATTTATTGAATAAGAGGACTTTTCCCCATTGTTAATTTTTGTTGCCTTTGTAGAAGATAAGATTACTGTAGCTGTGCAGCTTTATTTCTGAATTTTCTATTCTGTTGCATCAGTCTGTCTGTTTTTGAACCAGTATCATGCTGTTTTGGTTACTATAGCCTTACAGCACAGTTTGAAGTCAGGTAATGTGATACCTCGGCTTTACCTTTTGCTTTGGATTGCTTTGGGAATTTGGGGTCTTTTCTGGTTCCATGTGAATTTTAGAATAGTTATTTTCCAATTCTGTGAAAAACGACATTGGTAGTTTGATAGGAATAGTGTTGAATCTGTAGATTGCTCTGAGCAATATGGCCATTTTAATAATATTAATTCTTCCAATCCATGGAATGTTTTTCCATTTGTATTATCTATGATTTCTTTCAATGATGTTTTGTAGATTTCCTTGTAGAGATCTTTCACCTACTTGGTTAGACGTATTCCTAGATACTTTATTTTTTATTGCTTTCTCTGAACCCAATCCTAAGCCAACCAGTTTAAGGTTTGGGAAATTAACTCTTTCTAGTTTGGAGGATGCATCTGAGGGGAGTGCCTCATAGTACAGAGACACAACTACCTATTAGTGAAGAGAAATCCAAGGAGAAGAAAGGAAAAAAGAAGGCATGTTTTAAAGGAGTCCCAGAGGTTCTGGATGCATGTGAAAGGGGTACAGACTGAAGATGAATGGCTACCCATCTAGAAAGAGGGAAACAGGCATCCCTGGCTCCCTTCTCTTCCTAGCAGATACCTGAGGCACATGAGGGAGAGAGGAAAAAGTCCTCTTTCTGTCTTCTGTTCTTGCATTCCCAAGTTCCGGCGACCTTGGCAGGTGCCACCGTAAGTAGCAAAGCAGCTTGCACCCATGAAGCAGGGGGCCTAGAGAACAGGAATTATCCGCTCTCACCTATGTCTCTTTCCCACCTACTGTCAATAGCCTTGGAGTTCCCTAGACCTCATTTATGCCATGGATATTAACGTGGCCTTTATCCATGAAACAGGAAGCTTGGGGTTGGCTTAATCGAAAGGAATCAGCCACACTTACCTGCACCGTGCCTTTCAACTTCCATTATCGTCTGCCTCTGTATCCCTCAGATCCAGTTTTCCCTCCTAGGGCTTTGACTCGAAGCTTGGAATTGAGTCTGGTACAAAAATGTGTCTCAGGGGGCATTGCATGGACTCCTTAACATAAGCCAAATGCTAACGTGAAACTGTGGAATTGAGTTTTCTCTCCAAGGGAAAGAAGAGGAAGTCTTGGGATGCACTCAGATAACTGGTGGCTATAGTTATGCTTGCTAAGATTTGGGTGCATGGTGCTTGGCCTTGGTTAGTTCCCTTGGTCTTAGTTTTCCAAAGGGAAACCTCTGAGTGATGGGCACCCTATTTATTCCAATCACCTGGTAGGATTTGCAGGGTAATTGTTCTCAGAACTAGAATATTGATCCACATTTCTACATTACCCATCCCTCTTGTTCTTTCTGAACTGAAGCCAGGAATTGCTGGTTGGTTCACAGGAGCAAGCAGGGCAAGTCTAAAATGTAGGCAAAACCTTAAAAACAACGACTGAGTTTAGAATTTAATGACAAATGTATAAGTTTTGAAACATGATTACTTTCTTTCTCCAGTCCTCATTTTTAAAAAAAATCATCATAGGACTAAATGGAAAGTACAACAAGAATAATTATGTCTACATAGGCCTTTCGGATTGGCTTTGATGACAGTTTATTCCACAAGGAATTTCAGATAAGACCGTTGAAAGCCGAGCCCAGCCATGGGTTTGCATCCTCAAATACCTGTGAGTTGGGTAATCCTTTCATCTTAAAGTCCCAAAATAAA
Organism: Homo sapiens; assembly: GCF_000001405.40. NCBI lineage: Eukaryota > Metazoa > Chordata > Mammalia > Primates > Hominidae > Homo > Homo sapiens. Next base: position 106,259,776 of record NC_000003.12, on the reverse strand, counting down.
CTTGGGGCTCTTGGACCTGTTAGAAAGTGACATTCTTTACTGACCACCAGTCAGGAACCCTGTATAGGGACTGTGTAGGCAAGGGTATGAGGCCAGTTTTCCCACTGGGCTTTTATTGGCTCTGCAAGTCGGGATTGACTCCTTAAAGGGAAGCATACCCTTCCAGTCAAAGCCTTGGTAAAATAACCACTTTGTCCAATTGTGTTCTGTTGGAAAAGAAAACTGGATTCTTTTTTCTTTTTCAATTATACTTTAAGTTTTAGGGTACATGTGCACAACGTGCAGGTTAGTTACATATGTATACATGTGCCATGTTGGTGTGCTGAACCCAGTAACTCGTCATTTAACATTAGGTATATCTCCAAATGCTATCCCTCCCCCATCTACCCACCCCACAACAAGCCCCGGTGTGTGATGTTCCCCTTCCTGTGTCCATGTGTTCTCATTGTTCAATTCCTACCTATGAGTGAGAACATGTGGTGTTTGGTTTTTTTGTCCTTGTGATAGTTTGCTGAGAATGATGGTTTCCAGCTTCATCCATGTCCCTATAGAGGACATGAATTCATCATCATTTTTTATGGCCGCATAGTATTCCATGGTGTATATGTGCCATATTTTCTTAATCCAGTCTATCATTGTTGGACATTTGGGTTGGTTCCAAGTCTTTGCTATTGTGAATAGTGCTGCAATAAACATACATGTGCATGTGTCTTTATAGCAGCATGATTTATAATCCTTTGGGTATATACCCAGTAATGGGATGGCTGGGTCAAATGGTATTTCTAGTTCTAGATCCCTGAGGAATCACCACACTGACTTCCACAATGGTTGAACTAGTTTACAGTCCCACCAGTAGTGCAAAAGTGTTCCTATTTCTCCACATCCTCTCCAGCACCTGTTGTTTCCTGACTTTTTAATGATCGCCATTCTAACGAAAACTGGATTCTTATTGCACTAATGCAAACAACTATATTGCCATAAGAATACTCATCGTTTCCAAATTCTAGAGGAACCAGGCAGAGAGAAACAAACATGCTCCAAATCTTGATTACAGGAGTGTATACCTTACTTAATTATTAAAGGCTGTAAATAGTTCAAAAGTTTCATTGACTCTGAAAAAGAAGGATCAGCAATATTCCAAGCAAAAGTCAAAAAGGTTGCTTCAGCTTCCTGAGTTCAGTCTATTTAATTAACTGTTGTTTTTCTTGATATTCGTAAACATTTCAGCTCTTCACAAGTCCTGCTCATTTTCCTTTATTAAAATGTTACAGTATCCAAAGTTATCGGAAGTCTGTATTTGAGAGCACCTGTTAAAATCTTATAGCCAATTATAAACCATCTTTTGAAAAGGATTAAAACAAGACAATAATTATCTGTGAATAGCAAAATGTCCAGGGTAGTCACAGTCAAAAACACAATTGACAACAAAGTTTGGTTATCTCCGTGGTTTACGATAACTTAACAACCTTAATTATGATTGATAGCATACACTTATACATTAAAATTTTAGAAATCCCATACAATTTTGGGACATATGTTAGCATTATTCACAAAAATATAACCTAAAGAAGATTGAGCATAATTTTGGCAATCCCATGTACCTAAACTTGTGAAATAATCCTGCTTACCTCTCTTTTCCGGACACTTCAGTGGCTCTCCGAAGTATTTGAAAAGCCAGGTGCCAGGGAAGACAATTTTGAAACTGAAGTTTGATTTGGGGAATGCTGTTAAATGTTCAAGATTTAAAACACTTGATATTACGAAATAGAAATCCAGATTACCATAAATTATTTATTTTGCCAAAATGATGACTCAGAAATTTTAAAGAAGCAAAAGCCTTTGATAACCCTTTACAAATTTTGCCAAAGAGAAGATTAGTACCTTAGAAAAACCTTGTTATGCTTTTATTTTGAAGCTCAATTTATATTGAGAAAAAACATGTAATACTTTTTTTAATTTAGTCAATATGCTCACACTGAGAACCTCTTCTGCAAGATTAATTTCCAAAATTTTTCCACCACTTCTTTGAAACTTCAGCTTTTTCCTAATTTAACTCAATATAATCCTTTAACCCTAGGCCAAAGTTTACATTTCCATGTCTTCTTATAACCTTTTACAAAACACATACACACACACACACACACACACACACACACACACGATTTTACTGTTCTTATACACCTTGCATGTAAATCTGTTTTCAGTAGTCTCAATTACATGTTATAATGGTAACTCCTAGCAATTGTTAACTTTAAGGTAAAACTTGGTACATTAGCTTTAATTATGTGCTAACTACAGTCAAGGTTTGCCTTCTTAGTTAAGGGCATGGTTAGTTCCATATATCCCCAGGCCTTACCAATTGTGAAGCAGGCAAGACAGACAGTTCTCAAAACCCAAAAAGCAGTTCGTAACCTCAAAACACTTAGCAAACCTTGCATCCGGCCTGCATTTTACCAATAGTCCTTGGGGCTGTTTTTATTTCTCAAAGATTACAGTCACAGAACTGGAAGGTACCATAGCTTTTATTTCTTAAAATTATTAGATCCAGGCACTTGTCTTTCTTTACGCCAAAGTAATTAGAGCTCTTCTTTTTTTTTTTTTTTTGAGACAGTCTTTCTCTGTTGCTGAGGCTGAAGTGCAGTGGCGTGATCTCAGCTCACTGCAACCTCTGCCTCCCGGGTTCAAGCAATTCTCCTGCCTCAGCCTCCAGAGTAGATGGGATTACAGGTGCACGCCACCATGCCCAGCTAATTTTTTGTATTTTTAGTAGAGACGGGGTTTCACCATGCTGGCCAGGGAGCTCTTTTTACAGACATCATACGTAGAGCACACACAGACAAGCAGAAGAAAAGTCAGTCGCTGGATGGGGCCCTTTAAGAGATAGGGCCACATGCAGATATCAAACCAGAAAGAACCATTCCCTAAGGCAGGGTTGCTAAACAAAACCAAAAAAACTTTAAAGGTTAATTTGTTGATGGGGTAGAGTAGGGGAAAGAAAAGAAACAGTTTAAAAATATCTGGGGAAGAACCTCTTATTCTTAGGCAAGTGGTTCCTCCGCTGGGGAGAAAAGTTTAATTACTGTCCCGTGGAGTTGAAACCGTTTGGCTGGGGAAGGGGAAAGCTGCTGCAGCATGGCTGGGAACCAGCCTGCTGGCTGTGTGGGACCCTTGGGCACCGCGTCCCAGCCCCAGCATGGAGGTGGGAGGGGCTGAGAGCTGTTGCTCCTTGGTTCTTCCTGAGAAAGGAAGGAAAAGGCCATGAAAAGGCCCCCAACCCCCAGGAGTGGAGAGGGATGGGGGTTCAAACCCCAGAAGCGACAAGGAGTGGGGGTGCAGTTTCTTGTAAGTTCAGACGTCTGAGGTTGAAAAGGCTTAGAAATCACAGTGAGAGGTTTTGAGTTCCCATTTCACTCACCACTTCTGGAGCCCCTCATTTGCGGCAAAAACGTTGCATAACTTTTCCTTAGTTCAGGTAAAAATGTGGGGGCTCTTGTCTGTCCAACAGCCATGAAAATTTAGGCTCACAGACAGTTTAAAGGGTGAGTAAAGCAGGGTTTTATTGGGTGAAAAGGGCCGGGGGGCGGGTGGGGAAAGGACACGGATCCTCCACACGGCCAGAGTACCCTGCTAGAGCACTTCCCACCTGGCTATTTGAATCTCAGGTTCCGCACAGGAAGAGGAGGGGCTGGGCTCCTCCGCATTGCAAAGGGTGCAAACTTTCTGAGGTTCCAGTCCAGTGGGCAGGCTGGTTAGAGTTCCTCTAGGGGCCCCCTCCCACCTGGCTGTCTCACTTACAACTTCCCTGTTCTGTATGATGTTGTCTATGAGTTTGTCATACATGACTTGTATTATTTTGAGGTATGTTCTTCTGATGCCTAGTTTCTTGAGGGTCTTTATTATGACAGGATGTTGAATTTTACTGGAAGCTTTTTCTGTGTCTATTGAAATGATCATATGGTTTTAGTTTTTAATCCTGTTTATGTGGTGAATAACATTCATTGATTTTTATATGTTGAACCAACCTTTCATCCCAGGATTAAAGGCTACTTGATTGTGCTGAATTAACTTTGTGATGTGCTGCTTGATTTGGTTTACAAGTATTTTGTAGAGGATTTTTGCATCTATGTTCATCAAGAATATTTGCTTGTAGGTTTCTTTTGTTGTTATTGTGTCTTTGCCACCTTTTGGTATCAGTATGATGCTGACTTTGTAGAATGATAGGGAGGAATACCTCCTCCTCGATTTTTTGAAATAGTTTCAGTAGAGCTGGTACCAACTCTTTGTATATCTTGTAGAATTTGGAGGAAATCCATCTGGTCCAAGGTTTTTTCTTTTCCTTTTTCTTTCCTTCTTTCTTTCTTTTTTTTTTTTTTTTTAGTTGGTATGTTTTTTAAATTACTGATTCAATTTTGGAACTCAATACTGGTCTGTTTAAATTTCTTCCTAATTCAAACTTGAGAAGTTGTGTGTTTTCAGGAATTTATCAATTTCCTCTAGATTGTCTAGCTTCTCTGCATAGAGATGTTTATAATAGTATCTGAGTATCCTTTATATTTCTGTAGGATCAGTTGTAATGTGACCTGTGCCTTTTCTGATTGTGCTTATTTGGATTTTCTCTCTTTCTTTGTTAATATAATTAACATTCTATCAATCTTGTCTATCCTTCCAAACAACTAACTTTTTGGTTTCATTGATTCTTCGTATGAATTTTTGGTCTAAATTCCATTTAGTTCTGCTCTCATTTTGGTTATTTATTTTCTTCTGCTAAGTTTGGTTTTTATTAGTTCTTGTTTTTACTAGTTCTACGTGTGATGTTAGATTGTTATTTTGAGATCTTTTTAATTTGTTGATGTAGACATTTAGCAATATAAAATTTCCTCTTAACACTGCTTTTGCTGCATCCCAGAGATTTTAGTATGTTATATCTCTGTTTTTATTTATTTCAAAGACTGTTTTGATTTCAGCCTTAATTTCATTTTTTACCTGAAAGCCATTTAGGATCAAGTTACTTAATTTCTGTCATTGTGTGATTTTCAGAGATCTTCTTGGTAATGATTTCTATTTTTATTCACCTTTGGTCTCAGAGTATGGTTGATGTAATTTTGAATTTTTAAAAACTTAACTGAGACTTGTTTTATGGTCAAGCATGTGGTTGATCTTTGAGTTTGTTTCATGTGCAGATGAGAATAATATATATTCTGTGTTTGATGAGTGGAGGTGTTTGTTAGGTCCAACTGGTTAAGTGTCAAATTTAACTCCAAAATTTGTTTGTTAATTTTCTGCCTTGAGGACCTGTCTAATGCTGTCAGTGGTGTGTTGAAGTCCCCCATTATTATTGGGTAGCTTTCCACATCTTTTCATATGTATAGAAATACTTGTTACATGACTGTGGTGCCCCAAAGTTGGGTGCATATATATTTAAGGTAGTTAAGTCTTTCTGTTGAATTGAACCCTTTATCATTATATAATGACCTATTTTGTCCTTTTTTACTGTTACTGGTTTAAAGTATATTTTATCTGATATAAGAATAGTAATCCCTGCTCATTTTTGTTTATCGTTTGAGTGATAAATTTTTCTCTAACCCTTTTCTTTGAGCCTGTGGATGTTGTTACATGTGATATGGATCTCTTGAAGATAGGAGATGTATGGGTCTTGTGTTTTTATCCAACTTGCCACTTGGTGCCTTTTAAGTGGGGTGTTTAGGCTGTTTTCATTAAAGGCTAATATTGATACATGAGGTTTTATTTCTATCATGAAGTTGTTACCTGATTGCTTTGTAATTTAGTTTCTATTGTGTAGTTGCTTCATAGCTATGTATTTAAGTGTGTTTGGAGGGTAGCTGGTATTGTTCTTTATTTCCATGTTTAGAACTCCCTTAAGAATCTCTTATAAGGTGGGTCTAGTAGTAACAAATTCCCTTAGTGCTTTCTTGTCCAGAAAAGATTTTTTTTTCTTCTTCAATTATGAAGCTTAGGTTAGCAGAATATAAAAATCTTGGCTGGAATTTCTTTTCTTTAGGAATGCTGAATGTAGTCCCAAATCTCTCCTGGCTTGTAAGGTTTTTGCTGAAAAGTGTACTGTTAGCCTTGCAGGGCTCCCTTTGCATGTGATATGACCCTTTTCTCTAGCTGTCTTTAAGATTTTTGTCTTAGCGTTGACCTTTGACAGTTTAGTTTAGTGGCCCTATGCCTTGGTGATGTTCCTTTTGTATAGTGTCTCACAGATGTTCTCTAGATTTCTTATATCTGGATATCTACCTCTCTAGCAAGATGAGAGAAATTTTCTTGAATTATTACCTTAAATACATGTAACAGGTTGTTTAGTTTTTTTTCTCCTTCTCTCTCAGAAATGCCAACAATTTATAGGTTTAGTCACTTTACATAATCCCATATTTATAGAAGACTGTTTATTTTTTAATTCATTTTAAAATTTTTGTCTGAGTAGGTTAGTTCAAAGACTGCTCTTTGAGCTCTGAAATTCCTTCTTTTGCTTGTTCTCATCTATTAATAAATCATTTAGTTTTACGTTCACATTCCTTAAGTGAGTTCTTTAATTCCAGAACCTCTGATTGATTTCTTTTTAATACGTTTATTTCTTTTTTCATTTCCTGGATTGCTTTAGATGTTCCTTTGTGTTGCTTTTCAAACTTGTCTTGGATCTTGTTGAGCCACCTTGCAATCCATGCTTTTAATTTATTTATTTTTTTAACTTTTAGGCTCAGAAGTACATATTCAGGTTTGTTGTACAGGTAAGTTGCATGTCATGGGGGTTTGGTGTACAGATTATTTTGTCACCCAGGTAATAAGCATAGTGTCTGATAGTTTTTTAGTCTTCACCCTCCTCACACCCTTTACCCTCAGGTAGGCCTCAGTGTCTGTTGTTCCCTTCTTTGTGTCCACAGGTACTCAATGTTTAGCTCCCACTTAGAAGTGAAAACATGCAGTATTTGGTTTTCTGTTTCTGTGTTAGTTCACTTAGGATAGTGACCTCCAGTTCCAACCACGTTGCTGCAAAGGACATTATTTTATTCTTTTTTATGGCTGCATAGCAGTCCATGGTATATATGTACCACATTTTCTTTATCTAGTCTATTGTTGATGGACATTTAGGTTGAGTCCATATGTTTGCTACTGTGAATAGTACAGTGATGACCATACATGTGCATTCTATCTTTATGATAGAATGATTTATATTCCTTTGGGTATGTACTCATTAATGAGATTGCTGAGTTGAATAGTAATTCTGTTTTAAGTTCTTTGAGGAATTGCCACACTGCTTTCCACAATTGCTAAGACTAATTTACATTCCCACCAGTAGGTATACGCATTCCCTTTCTTTACCCCTTTTCATTTCTGAGTTTCCACTTTGGTCGGGGACCATTGCTGGAGAGCTAGTTATATTCTTTAGTGCTGTCACTGCATTCAGATTTTTTTATGGTGCCATAATTCTTATACTGGTTCCTTCACATCTAGACACACTGGATTTTTTTTTTTTTTTTTTTGAGATGGAGTCTCACTGTGTCACCCAGGCTAGAGAGCAGTGGTGCTATCATGGCTCATTGCAACATCCACCTCCTGGGTTCAAGTGATTCTCCTGCCTCAGCCTCCTTAGTAGCTGGGATTACAGGCACCCACCATCACACCCAGTTAATTTTTGTATTTTTAATAGAGGTGGGGTTTCACCATGTTGGCCAGGCTGGTCTTGAACTCTTGACCTCAAGTGATTCACCTGCCTTGGCCTCCTAAACTGCTGGGATTACAAGCGCAAGCCACCACACCCGGCTGCATTTCTTATTTCTATAATTATTTTCATGTTGATAGAATCCATGTTTCTTTCTTTCTTTCTCTCTTTCTTTCTTTCTTTTTTCTTTCTTTCTTTCTTCTTTCTTTCCTATTTCTTTTCTTACATTATTAGGGTATTTTGGGGTTTTTTCCCTCTTCCTTAGGCAGTGTTACTATGGAATGTTGGGTAAGGTCTTTTAGCCCTATTAACTTTTGTTGGTAGGTTTTACATTGGGCCATGTGGTTTGACCCACAAGCCAGTAGATGGCACTTACAGGTAAGAGCTGGCTGCAGCCAATGCAACTGGTTATGTACTTGACCCTTGTTCACTAGGAGAAGCTCTTGTTGCCTCAGGCAATGAGCTAATACATGGAGTACACAATGGTTTGATCTCCCCACTCAGCTCTAGTGTGGGACAGGATGGGTGGAGCTGGACCGGTTAGGCCCAACTACAGGTCCCCAGTGACAAGCATCAGCACCAGCACCAAAGAAGAATGCAGTGGGCAGCCACCATGTGCCCAGAGGTGAGTCTAAAAATGGAATTGGAAAACCTTCCTACCCCCAAGTTCTCAGCATGGGGAATGGGGGTAGCCTAAACTCCTAATCCAGGAGAGTGGATACTCCAGGTGCACGGAGATCTGCCTGGGCATGAAGTGGAGAAGGTCCCACTGCACCACAGTCTCTTCACAGCAAGGGAATGGTGGCTCAGGCTATTAATCCAAACAAGCAGGTGCTCCAGATGTTTGGGGATCTGCCTGGTGATTGGGCAGAGAGGGCCCTGCTTCACCATGGTCTCTGCACAGGAGGACTGGGATGACTTAGGCTACTAGTTCAGGAGAGTGAGTGCTCCAAAAGCTTGGACATCTGCCTAGGCATGAAGCAGAGAGGGCCTCCTCTGCACCCAGATCTCTGCACAGGAAGGGCGTGACAACTGAGGTTGCCAATCCAGGTGAGCAGGTGCTCAGAATACCTGGAGATTTGCCAGGACATGCAGTGAGCATTTAAAGAGTTTAAATTTTAAAAGTTTTTAGAAAAAAAATCCACATAGAATACAACCAAGAGACACAAAGAAATGTTCAGTTATTGGACATTTTTTCTATTATTTTTTTCAGTATTTCTCATTATTATTTTTTGTTGTTGTGTATAGCATCTCTTTACTTTATAAAAGTGATCTTCAGCTTACAGACAAATGGTGGGCCATTCATGTAATATCAACATACCTATACATGACATCTACTACCAAAGACTGATAGTGGTTTTGGGGGTACAATTTGAATTAAGCAAGGCCTCTGATAAAAATAATAGTAAATGTTTATTATTTTAAAGCCGATTAATTTCAATAAGAAAAAACAAAAGTCCAGACATGGTGGTTAATTCCTATAATCCCAGCACTTTGAGAGGGTAAGGCAAGAGGATCACTTGAAGTCAAGAGTTAGAGACCAGACTAGACAACAAAGCAAGACCATGTCTCTAAAAAAACAAAACAAAACAAAAAAATTAGTTGAGTGTGTTGGTGTGTGCCAGCTATTCAGGGGGCTGAGGCAAGAGAATTACTTGAGCTCAGGAGTTCAAGCCTGCAGTGGGCTATGATGGCGCCACTGCACTCCAGCTTGGGTAACAGTGCAAGACCCTGACTCTAAAAGATAGAGAGAGAGATAAAGATAGACAGAAAGATAAAGATAGAGAGAGAGAGAGAGAACATACATTTACTTGTTGGAAGTCATTTTATTTTATCAAGTATCTATACATGTAACTTGATGTCTTTCAACCAAAGTAGACAGGACAGCAATTGTACTGGGCATAAATTCAAGTACACCAGATTTTCCAACAGAATGCAGTCAGCTATTTATTCACTTTTATCTTGTCTATGTGGAGCACTCTGTGTGATATCTGTATTTCTTACTGATCTCAGCAATTTTTTCTGAGGCAAGGATAAAAATATATTCTTTATATGTTCAAAACATCTAGCACAGAGATTTGCACACTGCAGGCCCTTAGTAAATGTGTACTGAGTGAGTAAAGGGCAGAGTTGACTTTCTAAGTTTCTCCAGCTTAGTAGTAGTAGAAGTAGTAACAGCAGTTGCAGTAGCAGCAGTAGCAGTGGCAGTAGTAGTAGTAGTAATAGTAGTAGTAGTATATTTAAGATCTGGGAAAGGAAGTGGGGAGGGAGAGAAATCAGCCTACCTACATCACCCAGAGTCCTATATAATAAAATGCAGAAAATTAGACCTCTAATGAGAGCTTTTGTTCAGGGATAATGTTATAAATGATAGATACAGATATGTCAACTATCTGTATGATAGATATGTTCGACTATTTGTCGATGTTCACAAAAAAGTTTTTTATGTGAATGTGAACCCTTGTAAATTTGAGGGATTCCTAAGTCTGCAAAATCTATCCTGAAGTTTTATTTTTAGTAAATAATGATGTGCAATAAAACAGAAGATATCTATACACATGCCAGCTGTGATTTTTTTATTGTGCTTGGTTTGGTACATATTATAATAAAGAACAGTATATGTGTGTGAAGATAAAGTGATATATGTAACTGGATAAATTAGAACAAGGGAAATACTTTAAAGACAAGGGCGGGAAATGATGGTGGTTTCGTAAGTATGTAAACATAGAAGTCAAGTCTTATGCAAATATTTTAAAGTGTATTGGATCATTAGTCATGGTGAGCCAATAACATATGACATAACAGATGTGCTTCCAGTAGATGCTAGAAAAAAATCTGTAACTTTGTAGAACCACATCCTCCATAGTTATTGGTTAATTATATCCATGCCTATTGATGGAAATCACAGACTCCCACCCAGAGTTTCAATTATGGTAATTGGTTCAATTTATAGACAAGGTGAATTCACTGTATGTGTGTGTACCCTCAACACTCACAAGGATATGTACATATTATTTATTAATTTGAGATCAAACCTCTATATGTTATATTAGAAATTTATCAAATTTGTAGTGAATTTTGAAAATATAAAATTACCTTTGTATTAATTTTTAAAATTTTTTTTCTGGGCTTTGCCTTTCCTTTTCTTTTTGTTCTTCTAAAATACTTTTAAATTATTCTCAGAATCTTTGTATTATAAGGTTTAGCAAGAAGGATGAGAGTCAGGCATAGAAACCTGAATAATATTACCATTCATATTTGTAAATATACCTACCAAACTCTAACAATAATCCTGTATACAGCAACCATGTGTTTTAAAAAATTGAAAATAATTATTATCTTATCTTGATTTTTGATTTGATATACCAGTCATATGTATATAATACTCTAACCACTTATACTTCATTTTTACATGTTGCCTTTTTTAAGGTGTGAAGTTAACAATGCCGGTACATTTTACATCATAGGCACACAAAAATCTCCTTGATCTGGAATTGAAGTAAGTTGAGATGGAAATGATTGAACAGGCTGCTAATGATTAGAGAATGTGCTCACTGCCTCAAGTGTTTCATAACTGTCTCTTTTGGCATCTGCACCAAAGGCGATGTCATTTGAAACAGCTTTATAGAAATGCCACTTCCCTCCACAAACCTTTACTAGTCAGTTTCATGTCATTATATATTCAAAAAAGACTTGTTATGAAAAACAGTCTGAGGCCATATGAGTACTAGTCATGGTTAGAGTGTTTTACTAAGTCATCTTTTTATAATTCCAACTTTAGCTAAAATCTAGCTGTAACTTTAGGATGGCAATAGCGTTATCTGCAACAAAAGATATGTTTGTCTTTTATGAGAAGCAAATTTTATACTCACCATGATACTTTGTATCATTAACTTATGGAAAGTTCATGGATAACTTCATAATCTTTATGTGTATCTATTACACATATAGATATATGAGAAAGAATTGGAGAGATAGTAAGTTAAAAATGTTATGTCAGCATATTGATACCCTTTGGACTGCTGCAGAGTCAAACTTTTAATGTGAAGAATTTAATATAATGATTAACTGTTGCTAGAAGCGTTAAATGCCAGAGAGTCTCACAGGATCTACAAAGGCGAGAGGTCCAGAAGATAAATGTGGTCTCAATGAACTAGAATAACTATTACAAGCACCAATAACTATAGGAAATAGTTCTAAAGGTAGGAAGAGTGTATGGTACCTAATATATTTTATTTTAAGGGACCCTAATATTCTCACCTCTACAAAAAGCAGCTTTTCTATCATGCTTAAAGTCTAATATTTGATTTACCACTTTAAGTTAAGGTAGTGATATGAAGTCAACTGTAATGTATAAAACAAATCAAATTGAGGATAGTAGTGCAAAAGCCCATCGTACTTGAACTTATTTGTAGATGGTTCGCTCCAACTCCTGCTTTCATCCCAACTGCCCAATGGATATCTTTGCTAAGCCATAGGGTTAGAGAACTGCATGTGATATTGTTTCCAAACGACTATGTAATTATATCTATGTGTTTGATATCAAGAGTTATGGTCTTTACTACCCTACTACCGATGTGATAGCTATACTGAGAAATCTTTTGGAAATGGGAAACAATAAAGAAACGTTTGATGAATACTCAGAGAGATATGAAGAGTGAAAAAAGGCCAAAATTTGAACATAAGGACATCTGTTTAACATGAGGCTTTGACTGAAGACTAGAATGTCTGGGGAACAGCTTGTTACATGTGCTTACTGAGCAGGACAGAAATGCTGCCATTCCCTCCAGGATCAGTCCCTTCTATAAGGCACAATATATCCTGCATTTTTATGAAGTAAAAGAAAGAAACAACAATTAACATTTATCAAGTGCTTACTATGTGCCTAAAATTGTACCAGGTGCTTTACTTAAATTATCTCATTTAGAGTTTGTGACAATAGGGATGCTGCTTCTGTCTCCTTTTTGGAGACAATAAAATTAAGAATGAAATAAGAGATTCTATTTAGGGTTTCCTTAAAAAATTTAGATCCATTCTTCATGACTTGGAGATCCAAGACAATTGTTTTGCTTCTAATAATTCTTATTAGTATTTTCAGCTACTATAGGGACATATTTGTTGATATGCTTCTGATTTATTTCTATTTAATCTTAGAGAATTTTAAAGAAAAGCATCTTTTGTTGTTAATTTTTTTTTTTTTTTTTTTTTTTTTGCTTTTTCTCTCTTCATCTTAGGAGAAAACTGGATTTAAACACCAATAGATTGATTTTTGGTTAAATCTTCTAGTCTGTGAGTTTGAATTATATTGTTAGCAAAATCTCACACCTCTTTTTTCCAAGTACTTCCCCAAACCTAAAGTAACGAAAGATAACCAAAAATCTGTCTAAATATAAGAATGCATCTTTGTAGTTTGGTCCAAAGATACAACATATTTTATCTTGATTCATTTTGAAATAAAATGCCCAAGTTTCTAGACTCAATTTACTTACTTAGTTGTGGCCAGGTTACTTAACTCCTTTGAGCATTAGTTTTATCAAGTGGCTTAATTTCTGATAATAGTCCTTATTTTTCTGAAGAAATGGGGCTTGATTTAAAAATGTCTTTTAAAATGTCTTAGGCTGGGCACGGTGGCTCACACTTGTAATCCCAGCACTTTGGGAGGTCGAGGCGGGTAGATCACCTGAGGTCAGGAGTTTCAGACCAGCCTGGTCAACACGGTGAAACCCCGTCTCTACTTAAAAATACAAAAATTAGCCGGGTGTGGTGGCGGGCACCTGTAATCCCAGCTACTCAGGAGGCCGAGGCAGGAGAATCACTTGAACCCGGGAGGCTGAGGTTGCAGTGAGCTGAGATTGTGCCACTGCACTCCAGCCTGGGGAACAGAGGTGACTTTGTCTCAATAAAATAAAAATAAAAATAAAAATAAATACAATGTCTTAAAGTTACTTTCAGCATTAAAAGCTATAATTTTATAATTTCACAGAGCTAACATTAAAAAATGGACATAAGCCGATTCTAGTAAAAGTTGATTTTAAAACATTACTCTCACCTTATTACTCTCCCATATTCTCTTGCACTGTTCTTTTGGTACTTTTAATCATCTGTGCTATGAAGGAAAAGATACACGAAGTCTGGAATCCAGATTTGAGCTCTTACACTCATTTAGGGTGAAGCATGGAGACGTAATATCAATGAATGTAGACTTCCATAACTATAAAACATGAATAATAATGCCTACTTCCCAGGAGAGTTTGAAAGTAAAGTGAAGTGAGCACGAGATATTACTTTATAAACTGTAAACTGCAGAGTAAATATAAGGTCTTATTACCCCACTTGAAATTATAACTTGACCTATCAACATTTAATTTCCACTTCCCCTGGTATGGGTAATATTAAAATGCAGATTGTCTCTCACCAGGAGCAGCTTGGGGGCAGGAGATTATTTTGAGGTGAGCTCACTTATCCAGGAATTGCATAGGCATTGTCCCTGTGCAGTGGCCATGAGAAGATCACTCAAAGCCATAGAAACATACTATTCTTCAAGTTTCTTTAAAATTCATCAAGTTTAAACTTGGTGATTGTGAAACTGATGTTCTCAAGCCTGCTTGCTCCTTGCATTGAATACTAGAAAATTAAATGCATAGCCACTCTTCCTTAGGACAAAGTTATCTTATCTATATACAGTTTTAAAGTGTGGGGATCCAGTACTCATCCACTGATCTTTGCTGCTAAGAACCCAGAGTAAGCTGGCTCTGAAGAGGACAGTACCTTAAATACTTTTATAATTATGTTTTGCATTCTTCCCCCAATCCGACTCCTATAACTAGATACAGAAACTACTCAGTCCTTCAATTATGAGTACTATATAAGTAAATTAAAGGAATCAACATGCATTCTAGAAAAAAGTACAAACAAAAAGCAGTAAAGGAGAAAAGGAATAAAGAAAAAGTGAAATAATGCAAATACCAGAAATCTGTTTTTTCACAGTAGATGAAAATCATGGTCAAATGGCTGGCTATATGTTATCCTATATGAATCAAGAACAAAATAAAAATATAGATGACAAACTATGGAATTTGGGATTATATACTTACAGAACTTTGGGTATTATTCAATCTAGTCTTAATATTTTTAACTTGAGTTTCAGTAGGTGGATCTTGGGGGATGGGATGAAAAGAAGAAATTAAGACCGTCTTCAAAACAAGAAAAAAAGAAGCAGCACAAGGAGAAAAGACACTGTTGGGGAAAAATTAATATGAGAAATGGATGTAAAAATGAGAAGAGTTAATCAAAAAGTCTAAAAAGAGCTCTAAAGAAAACAAATGAAGTAGAAGACAAGCAAAAAAAGAGTCAATATATGAAAAATCTACATTTTCATATAAAATTTTAGTAGATTTTAGATTTTAGTGTGCTAAAGAAGCAAACTAATAAGAGAAATAAATGGTAAAGGTTTACACCTCAAAAAAATTTACCCCAAATTGAAGAAGCTTAAGCAACATAGTTTTAAAAAGCTACATTACAGCCCAGATAAAACTCACAAGAAATAGCAACACAAAGACATATCACAAGAAAATTACAATACTTGAAAGATCAGTAAAGTATTTGAGTAGCAGCCAGACCAAAAATCAAATGCCTTATAACAGGGGAAAAAAATCGTTTTGCTTGTGGCTTCTCCACAGAAACCTTCAACTCATATAAATGCTGTGGAATGAAACCTACAAAATGTTCAAGGAAAGAGTGACCTAAGAATTTTATATTCAGCCTATCCCTCATTATATATACAGGCAACACATAAATATTTTTGAACATGCAGAACTCCAGTATATTTTTCCCATAAACTCTCTTTAGTATCCTACTAGAAGACAAGTATCAGCCAACCAAGAGAAAATTGAATAAATTATAATAAAATAACTGGTGGTGAGTATTGATCATATTTAGCTTGGGACTAAGATTTGAAATATGCAAAAACTAAAGCCTGCAACATAATAAACAATGTTATATGCACTGATAATATAACTAATAAAAATAGTATAACGGAATGTGGCAGGGAAAAAGGATGGGGAATGGAGGTAAACTAAATTGCTGATTTTCTCAGTTTTAAGAGTGGGAGGAGTAATCAGACCTATTATTTAGAAATAAAAATAAATTAGCAGACATACAGGTATGTTTAAGTATGCAAAGATAAGCAAACATTAAGAAAAATAATGCATTGACTGAAACTAAGTGGTGGAGGAAAGAGTAGGGAAAAGAGAAAAGGGAGAAATATGCTAATGTTGTTATTGTTCACAGAAGGAAATTAATAGATACAGTCCCAAGAAAGAGGAGATTAAAGGTATCCTTAAAAAATAAACACTCTAACAAAAACTCAAATCATCTTCTTTATCAGAAATGCACCGTGAATGTATAACATGCACGCACACCTATGCATGAACATGTATATGAAGCCAAGCAAACAGACCACAAAAGATTTTTATAGACATAATAGAACTAAGGTCAAACATGTCTACCATATCAATAACAGCAGATAAACTAAGCTGTTAATTAAAATAATTACTTTCAAATTTGATCTCAAAGTAAAATCCAACTTTATATATTATGCAAGAAACTCCAAATAAACTGACTCAATGTCCACATACAAAAGAGAGACATAATTTTATCAGCCAAAAAAGAAGCAGGAGTTAAGATTTGAATTTCCAACAAGGTTGAATTTAGGCAAAAAGGTGTTATGTGAAAAATACTAATAAGGGTACTTTGTAATGCTAAAGAATGCAAACCACAGTAGAGTTATACACCAAATAACACAAAAAACGTTCAGTCACACAAGAAAATAATCAAATATTGAAAATACAAAATGAAATTTTAATGAAAATATCAAATGCTGATGGGAACATTTAAAATAAAAGCTTTTTACTTCCTGAATAAATTAGAAACTGTATCTATTGCATTCATCAGCACTTTTTTGGTTGCAAGAAACAAAAATTCTGTTTAAGCAAAGTTTACGCTAAAAGCAGCATTCTTTAGAAGATACACGTAACTGTGGCTGGGCTGCACTGAAAACAAGAACCAAAACTGATATGCTGCAAGCAGCAACTTGGTCTCATTGCTGTTTGTCTTCCTTTTCTGCTGAGCACATTCTTCCATGAAGTGGGGAGCCTTGCTGGCAGCTACCTAAGGACCTCACATTTCCACTACCAGAGAGGAACTGAATTGCTGTCTTTGATACACTTTAAAAATCCTAAAGAAGGGTACTCAATAGCCCAGCTTTACTCCAGTGCCCTCCATCCCGGGTCAGTCTGCTATGGCCAGTGGAGACTGTGGCCTCTTTGGTGTAGATTTCCAACCTAAAACAATCACTATGAACAGAGGAGTGAGGAGAATTAAAAGGTGTCTCTCTCAATTTGTCTATTTGATTCCAGTAATTAGAACAGGCAGACAACTTCCTAAAAAACGTAAATATAATTCTGGGCAGAATAAACAACAGGTATATTATGAATCTTTAAAATGTTTATATCTGACAATATTTTTCAGAACTGAACATTGAAAATAATTTAAATGTTTAACACAAGTAGTATATCCATTCAATGTCAGTGACTCAAATTGCTTATAAAGAGTCCATCATTACAGGAAAAGTATTATGATACAAAGTTGGTGAAAAATAGTAATATAATTTTTTAAATTACTAAATTTGAGGCATCCAAAAATACTAGAAGATGCATTAAAATCAGTGGTTTATTTTATATGCTTTTTTCTTTTCCTATACTAAATATGTAATACTTTTATGACAGAATGAAGAAGACTCTTTTTTATATAAAAAAGAATTTTTACCTTTGCCAATTCTTCCTTCCCTCATGTATTTGGGAGAAACCTGGTTGAGGTCATGATTATATCATAAGCAAAGTTTTTCTCGTAAGAGTAATCTAAGAGTCATATTATCATAGTAACTATCAAAGATATGAAGATAAAAGGATATCCTCTCTGTATTCATATTTCTATGATATTTTTTATGTAGGACCACGATGTTATGATAATAATTGCAAAGAACTTTATCGAAGGATCCAAAGGGTAAGAGGGGATGGAGAAGGGCACACATGATCAGAGAGGTGTGAAGATGGATGTAGATTCCTTAAATCCTAAAAGAAAAGGGTCTTCACTACTCTAAGTAGCTTAAATAAGTAAGAAATAGAAATTGTGATATGATTGGAAAATTGAGATTTAAGTGCAGCACGGATAGAGTGCAAGTGCTGTGAATTTAAACACTTTTCCTAGTGTGAAATCTTGTTAAGTGATTCCCTGCTGTGACCTGTACCTTTCGTGCTGCTTATTTAATGAGGAAGTCTTAGAAGAGTGTGTGACATCTTTCTAAGATGAATGGCTTAATGCAAAAGCATCCTTTCTGGGTATTTAGTGTGTCTATTGTAGAATGATTGCTAATTCTTGGGCCAATTTCTGGAATCAGCAGGCATATCATTTTGCAGCTAGCAGTCTGCAGTTTATTCCTACCCTTTTTTTGTTTTTTAACCTCTGTCACAGCCTTGACTTGGCACTGCCAGGGAAACAGGCAGGTACACAAGAGATCTCAGCCCCCAGGACAGTGATAACTTGGAGGAAACACACAAGGCTGGCTTGTTGAGAAAAGATGTAGAGCAAGAGTTTTAGAAACTATTCTAATTTATTCTAACTAGAACCACAGTAATGTAAGCAAAATAATTAAAACAAACAAAAAATAGTACTCAAATAGAAGAGAATGATAGAGCAATGTCTGACCCAGAGGGGCAGCTAAGAAATATTCCAGTAACTCTTTCCCATATTTTCTGTTGGTAAATATATGTACCTAAACACAGTATTTACCTGTCTATCCATCCCCACATATTTGCCCACATATAATTATGTCTGTATGTAGGTTTGTGTGTGTACTCATGTTGTGTGTTTATGTATGAAAGTCCTTCATAGTGAGAAAATTGTTTTCCATGTGCAAGGTTTAATATTTTATATGAAAGGAACTTTTTTTTTACTTCCTTAATCCAAAATACCTAGGCAAACACCAACAACTAGAAATGAGCCTTCTAACTCCTAATTCTCTGTGTTTATATAACAATAAAAATTAGTCTTCTATCTGTCTCTTTGATGAATGCCTTTGGCCTTAGCCAGCAGGCAAGAATCAATTCCTATTTCTGTAGGTATTTATTTAAAGATTTGATTAGAATCAATTAAAAAAGCATAGAAGGCACCTTTTTATCCACTTTACTCACCCACTATTCACCTCCCCACTGTAAAAATCTATGTTCATTTTTCTTAAAAAAACCTACATATTATCTCTCTTGAGAATTCAAGCCTCCATATTTTTCACTTATCTCATTTTACTAAGATATATGCAACCACTATACTTAAACGAAATGCTTTACAGGATTATGAGCTATTGGCACATTCAATTTAAGGAACAGAGGAACATAAAATACAGGGTTATATCTATGCTCAAGGTCACCTATATTTATTTTGGTATTTTACTTGTTGTTTCCTGATATTATGCAGGTCACACATACATATGCACGCACACGTATCAGATTTTGCCACCATGAAATAGACAAATTTTACAGAAAAGTTAAAAAAAATTATAGGCAATTAGGCATCATAGCTTTACTGGTCTAAGTTGTCCTGAAGAGAATAGTCTCATGGCCTCAGGATCTATAAGTCAGAATAAGTCCTTCTTGGGATTCTAGGAGTCCTGAAGATTCCAGAGATGTGGATGAGGATGGAAAGCTGAGAGTTTCCATCTTTTCTTATTTCCCCTTTTATTTGTTTTAAAGTTTAATCTCCTAATAAATTTCAGGTAACTAGATGCTAGATGACATATATTTTATTTAACCTTTGTAATAGCCATAAAGTTCAGCATTACTATTCCCGTTTTCTCAGCTGTAGCAATCAAGATAAAGTAAAAAGCTCAAAGTCATAGGGTCAACTGTGGCCAGAGCATATCTGAGTTCCATGGCCCTTCAATTTTAGAGATTTAAATTTGGATTAAAAAAAATGCACAGGTGATAAACTCACGTAACCTTTTAAGGTGATTGCTTGCCTTCCATTTGCTTATCCTTTTCTGCATTTTAGAAACGTATTTCAGTTATCTATTAGTCAATTTGTTAATCAAAATCAATGATGTTGAGCAAAATCAGGCATCATTCTTGATTTCAAAATATTTAGAATTAAGATGTGGAGATAAAATATAATTACTTAAAAGTTGAATAATGATATAATAATAATTCAAAACATTTTAAAAGTCAAAGTTATTGAGTTTGTCATTAATTAGCAAATTAATGATACAGGCAGTCAAGGTCATAGGAATTTCACTTCAAAAGATAGAGTCAAGATTTAGTATTTCCACTATCTTTATGCAAATTCAATTAATGCATTCATTTGATGTTTTTGCTCACCTACTATGTATCAGGAGTATAATAGGTGGTTTGGAGGTAACTATTAATATAAGACAGGCCCGGTCTACAAAGAATTTACAATCTATGAGTTTCTCTCTGTGATTTTACAATACAACATGAGAAGTTCTACAATTGCAGTATGTCAATCTAGTCATGGGAAATTCTGACAACAAAATAGCTATCAATTTTTGTGCATTTATCCAGATTCAATCACCAGCTAAACACATTTCCATGTAGCACATAGATTGCCTTTAGCTGAATATTTCTGCATTATCATATTTCAATGTCTTGACTCCTGCTACGTACTAAGCAAGGAATTTTTCTCCTTCCATCTCTAATAATGAAAATCCTACATGTCTTAAGACAAACAATGTCAACCATCTCATAGTAATGTAAACTGTTACAATCTTTCTGGAAAGGTGTTGGTCAACATACTATTCAAAGGCCTAAAGAATGTTTATAAATTTTGACCCACTTTTAGAAATTGTAAGGAAATAAAGAAACGTGTACAAATATATAAATCGTAATAATATACAAGACAGTGAAAAATTGAAAAAACTTAAATACAATGTGAAAATAAATCATCTTACTTTCTAGTACCATTGTCAATGCACTTACTTTTTAGTTAAGTTAAATTCTATTTTAAGCCACAGGGGAGGAAAGGAAGACAGAAATAATTTAAATAGTGATGCTCATGCAGCCCAACTCATAGCCTTCTACTATGGACTGAACATCTGAGTCCCCGCCAAAAGTCATACTTTGAAACCCTAATCCCCAATATGATGGCATATCAAGGTGGGACCTTTGGGAGGTAATTAGGTCATGAGGGTGGAGCCTTCATGTTGGGATTAGCATGCTTATACAAAGAAACAGGAGATTGCTTGCTTGCTTCCTCTCTCTCTTCCTCTTTCTTTCTGCAGTTCTGCCCCATGCCACTCCCCACCACCATGAGAAAACCAAGAGGACAGGCCTCACTAGGAAAAAAAAAATTAGCCAGTACCTTGACCTTGGACTTCCCAGCCACCAGAACTGTAAGAAATAAATTTCTTTTGTTTGTAAGCCACCCAATCTATGGTATCTTGTTATAGCAGTGCAAACTGAGACACTGTCTCTATATATTGGTTTTTGTCCCAGAGAAAATGTAATTTGGGAAAGAATTTTCTCTCATTTGGTAATCTTTGCCTAAGTCATGGGGTGGGATCTTCTTACTCAATGAATGTGGCTTTATGGAGCATTATATATTTAACCATTGAACTCATCTGGTATTCATTCAAAGAAACAGTAATCAGGAATACATTTGACTTTAGGTAATTTTTGTCTTACTTTCTATTTATTTATTTGGAGACAGGGTCTCACTCTATCACCCAGGCTGAATTGAAGTGGAGTCATCATAGCTCACTGTAACCTCAAACTCCTGGGCTCAAACAATCCTTTCACTTTGGCTTCCCAACACACTTAGTAGCATAAGCCACCATGTCCCGACTGTCTTACTTTTTAAGTTGTTGCCTTTACAAATGGTACAACTCCACAGAATACTAACATGATGAAATAGTATTCAGGCATTAAAATAGTATATATGTAGAAAAAAAACTCATAAAAATATATCAAGGTTTATATATTATAGGGTAAGAAAAGAATTTTCCATACATGAGATTAAGGCAAAAAGCCACAAGAGGAAATATTTGACTACATAAAAATAAAATGACATTGTTCACCAAATTATAATAAAACTTAAAAGTATGCAACTAATTGTGAAATATATATATATATATAGTTAAATGGTTATTGCTCCTGAAAAAAGAGCTTTGACAAGTTAATAAGAAAAATCATGTACTCTGTTTAAAAAAACATGTAAATGATAAGAATAGCCATTCACAAAACACACTCATCTACACAAATGATTAGGAAACAGTGAAAATGTAATTATTATAATATTACTAATAATTATTTTTAATGAGAAAAGTAAAAATTGTCTATTTTTAAATGATATATTACACAATATTAGTGAGGGTATGTCACAAGTATCACATGCGAGCTTGCTGATAGAGGTCAACCTCTCAAGGACTAGCAAAAGTTTAAAATGTTCATAGGCATTCACTCAATAATTTCATTACTATGATGATTTGTGCTCAGGAAATAGCATGGATATGCACCAAAGTTTGGCTTTTTTTTTTTATTCTTTTTACCCTGTTGTTCTAATACCAAAAAATTGAGGAGTGGAGGGGAAATTCTAATCTCCAAGAATAGCAGCTTCCTTGTGTAAATGATGTATCCAAAAGATGGATGAATATATGAAGTTTAAAATTCCGTTTGAAAATAATGTTTAATCTTATTAACATATTGTTAAATGAGAAAAGATTTTCATGAAATAATTTCTTACTTTAGTTATTTAATGAGTCTCTGCTATGTTCGTGACACTCTCCTAGCTGCTGGGGATATACAAGTTAAAGAAAATGAACAAACAAATTTCCTATGTTCATAAAGTTTACATTTCTTACAGGAGAAGACAGGCAATAAATGGTTGCCAGATGCATGACTAGAGACGAGATACACAGATGGATAGATGAATAGATAGAGCGAGTGGTGATAAAAAAATAAAAGCAGAGTAAGATGGATTCAAGTAAGTGGAGGAGGTAGGAATTGGGAAGCCCTTTGTTGTGTGTTTTTGATGGAGAGTGGTGCAAAAGCTTAGTGTGCTCCAGGAACAGTACGAGTAGGCAGGGAATGGTAGAATGAGAGAACACATCCAGTTGTGATGCAGGATGTTTTGCTCCTTAGTACAGCTAAAGTCCAGGTTCTTGTCTCACGATCAGGAAAAATTAGGCACGCAGACACATTGAAAGGTGAGGAGAGTGGAATTTCTTTTTAAAAAGTTCTGAGCCAAAGAAAAGCGGGGGTCCTCCCAACAGGTTCCTACCATAGGAGCTGAAGAGGCCAGGCTCCTCCCCACCTGCGAAAAGTGGGAATTCCCTGTGGCTCCACCCCATTCTCCCAATATGCAGATGGGCCCTTAGTCTGAGCCACTCCACACTGATTTATTTCCCTTACTGTGCATGTGTTAGGGATGGAATTATTTTACCATGGGCATGCTTAGGCAAGCCCCCTGTTTAAAATGACCTGGGTGGCATTTGGCTGTCTACTGTCTCTATCTGTTGGGCCTTCTAGGCCTTGGTAACTTTTAATTTTACTCTCACTAGAAGCAAATGGAAAATTTTGAGAGGAAAATGAAATGATTATATTTGTTTTTAAAACAAAGAGATCTCCAATTTTTGTTTTAGACAGAGTCTTACTCTGTAGCCCAGGCTGGAGTGCAGGGGCGTGATCTTGGCTCACTGCAACCTCCACCTCCCTGGCTCAGGTGATTTTCATGCCTCAGCCCCCCAAATAGCTGGGACTATAGGGGTGTGTGCCACCATGCCTGGCTGTATTTTGTATTCTTAGTAGAGATGAGGCTTTGCCATGTTGCCCAGGCTGGTGTTGAACTCCTGAGCTCAGATGATCTGCCAGCCTCAGCCTACCAAAGTGCTGAGCTTATAGGTGTGAGCTACAGCACCCAGCCCAGGTCTCAATTTAAAAGAATTTTAAATCACCATACTGGCTACAAAGCAAAGATTTCACTGTCTTTGATGAAAGAAGAAGCCAGAAGACCAGGAGGTATAGGAGAAATGCATGAAGCTCCTGTAAAAAGCCAGTCAACAGATGATGGTGGGTTCCCATGGTGGTATCAGTGGAGGGATGAGAAGTAGGTATGTTCTGGCTGTATTTTAAAATAAGCTCCTACAAGACTCCATATGTATCTATGCATTCAGACAAAATATAAAGAAAGGAGTCAAGAATATTTCTAAGGTTTTGGACTGAAGAAATTGAAGAATAAAAAAGCATTTAATAAATTGATAGAGACTGGGGCAAGAGATAGGATGTGTGTGTGTATGTATATAATATATATCTTGTCAGTTTATTAAATATGTTGTATATTTATATTTGTAGATATGCAAATATATCTTATGCAAAAAGCCTTTCTTATATACCAGCCTCTAATATATCTACTGCTATAATTGCTTGCAGTGAATTATCAAACTCCTGACCACAGGGACTATGCTTTATTCATAGGAGGTGAGGGCAGAGATGAAAGGTTGGCAGGGGAGTGGGTTGAGATCATAGTAAGTTTAATAGATCACTTGTAAGTTCTTTGACTTTTCTTCCCAAAGAGAAGGAAAGATTTTCCTCAAAGAGAAGGGAAGAGGGATTTGAGCATAAGTAAAATGGTCTGGTTTGCACTTTAAAAGAGCACTCTTTTGCCATATTGAAAATAGATTATAGAGGACAATGCAGAATCAGGGAGACCAGTTCAGAAGCTACTACATTGATCTGGAGGAAAAATGATTGTCATTGGAACCAAGGTGATAGCAGTAATGAGATTCCCATTATATTTTGATGGTCAAACAAGACATTCTCATAGTTTTCCCACGGAGTGTGAGAGGAAGCGAAGAGTCAATTTATGACTCAGGTTTTTTGTTGGATTAATTGGAAAAATGACTCAATTTTTCGGTCTATATTTGGAAAAATGAAGTTTCATTTACTGAGACTGGAAAGGCTGAAGAAAAAGCAGGTTTATGACTGAGATAGAGACCATCAGAGATATGTATTTTAATACGTTAAGTCTAAAATGCCAACTGGACAGCAAAGTGGGGATGTTAGGTAAGCAGTTAAAATATACAGTTCTGGGGTTCAGATGAGAGATCCAAGTAAAACATAACTAATTGGATGTTGTAAAGCATAGATGGTATAGATGGTATTCAAAGCCAAGGAAGGAGATATAGGTAGAGAAAAAAAGAGGCCTGAAGATTGAGTCAGGAGCATTCCAAGGTAAATAGTTCAGAGATCAGGAAGGAAACCAGGAAAAAAAGGCTGAGAAGAAATGATCAGTAAGAGAGAAGGAAATCTAGGAAAATGTGGAATGTTATGGAAGCCAAGAGAAGAAAGTTTCGGGGTGAGTGAGTGATCTACTAGGTCTGAAGTTATAGTTAGATTACATGAAATTAGAAATGGACCACAGAATACAGCAATATGGGAGTTAAAAGGGGACCCTGGGAAGAGCTGTTTAGGTGGAGTGTTGGAGGCGAAAGCTATTAGGATGGGTTTCAGAGGGAATGTGGATATTCTATAGGATAATTGATCTGTCCTCTTCAAAAATGTAAGATCATGAAAGGTAGATTTGGATTAAAGATAATTAAATTCTTTAATTTTAAGATAAGTAAATGCAAAAGGTGATGCTGGACCAGAAAAACACTTCTGTTTTCTTTTGCTAAACAGATTGCCAGTGGGACAACTGGTGAAATTTGAGTAAGATCTTTAGATTAGATCATACTGATGTCAGCTTATTTTTATAATTGTACTGTGGCATGGAAAAAGTCTTTCTTTTAAAAAAATACATGCCAAAATGTATGTAATTAAAAAGCATCATTTTAGCAACTTACTCTCAAATGGTACAGAGATGCAGAAAGTTAATGTGGTCAGATACCACATTACTATTACTCTTTTAGAATTATTTAAGAAATCTGATGAAAATTGTTTGTCCTATGTTTTCAACCTTTTTATAGGTATAAAATTATTTATAAATAAAGTAAAAATTAAAATATTAAAAAGAAATAGATACTTCAAAATATTAAAAAGAAGCAATAGAGGATGGGGAGGATATGAAGGGAAAAAGAATCAGTAGACAGACTTGGGTGCATCTCCTTTTCCCTTTCATAACTTTCCTGCTAGCCAGTTCTCTAATACATTAAGCCTTCTCTTCAATGTATTTCTTCCTCTAGCTGTGACAGTAGGTCTTTCTTTCTCTCTCTTTTTTTTATAATTTTTTTCTATTCCTTCTGTTTTAAAAGTACTGTAATGGTAAAGTATTAATACTTTAGAGAATTTAGTTTGTGTAAAAAATCTAATATCTCCTATATTTTCTGAACCAGCACAATTTCTAAATGATATGTTTTAATTCTTTAAATTACTTTCTTAATCTTTGAGTTCATAATTAACTTACTGAATTTTTCTCTTCTTCAATCTAAAAGGATTGTATATTTTCTGTATAATTAGGTTCTTCATTGCTTTGTATCTGCCCATTAATAAAACCTGTCATCATTCTGTTATTGAGGCCATTCTCATTGTTGCTGAAATCTAAATTCATGGTCAGAGCCCATGAAATGAACAGATCCAGAGCTAGCTCAGTAAATCTCTATATGAAGGGGGTTCCTAGGTCTGTAGAAAAGCCACTGGAATTGAAGAGTTTATAATCACCCCAGTTGCCCCTCTGAGCCCTGAAAATATAGGTATGGTGTTGGAGGAAGTCAAGGATTTGTAATTAGAAAAAAAGATAAAAAGAGAGTCAGGAGGTCTCTAAAGGAAGCTGAATAACCTTCTGAAATATTAGGTTTAGTCTATTAACTAACTTTGATAGTTTCCAAGCAGGAGATTGGTTTCAAATCTGAGTCATAGAAAAATAATTCTGGTGACAGTGTGAAGAATGGCTTGGATGAGAAATTTTAGGACAGAGACATTCACTGGAATTTTAATGCAGACAATGAGGTATAGTTCCTATGAGAGGAAATGAAATCTGGGCTGGTAAGAAAATGGAGGGCACAGAAGTGGGTGACCTTGATCCATGAAAGTAGATAATAAATGATTGTTCTTCACAACAGAATAAACACCAAACTTCATTTCATTAATTTTCTAATGCCTTCCTCCTGCTGCATACATTAGCCTTGCTACCATGTTTATTTATGACAATGTATGCACATGGGCAAACAGATGCCCCCTTCCTATCTCACTTAGAAGTGATCTCTAATCTTGTTTCCTCTGTCATTGGGAAACTTCCCCCCAGGACTCAGTCATGAAACCCTTCTATACTTGAGCTCTCAATCTCAGGCCTGTCAAAAATTTTACTTTCCATGGAACCCTTTCAGCTTGCGAGATAGCATGAGTCTGGAATGAAAGCTAGAACGATCTCATATCTCCCGGTATGGAAGTAGAAACAGCACAATCAAAACTGAGTCAAAAATCTCAGCTCCACCATTTACTCGATGAAGTTAAGCTACATCTATTAGTTTTTTTCTGCAAAATGGTGTAGCTAATGGATAACTGAGGGACTTACTGAGAAGATTAAATGAGATAATTTGTAAAACACCCAGAATAATAAATAGCACACAAAAAACAAAAAACTAAAAAATTAGTTCAACCACTGTGAAAAGCAGGGTGGTGATTCCTCAAAGAGCAATCCCATTGCTGGGTATATCCACAAAGGAATATAAATCATTCTATCATAAAGACACATGCACACATACGTTCATTGCAGCACTATTTACAATAGCAAAGACATGGAATCAACCTAAATGCCCATCAATGTTAGACTGCATAAAGAAAATATGGTACATTTACACCATAGAATACCATGCAGCCATAAAAAAATACAATCATGTCTTTCTCAGGAATATGGATGGACCTGGAGGCCATTATCCTTAGCAAACTAATGCAGGAACAGGAAACCAAATAGCACGTGTTCTCACTTATAAATGGAAACTAAATGAGGAGAACTCATGGACACAAAGATGGGAACAAGAGAAATTGGGGCCTACTTAAGGGTAAAGATGAGAGGAGGGAGAATCAGAAAAAAATAACTGTTGGGTAGTAGGCTTAGTACCTGGGTGAAGAAATAATCTGTTCAACAAACCCCCATGATGTGAGTTTACCTATGTAACAAACCTGCACATGTACCACTGAACCTAAAATAAATTTTTAAAAAAGAAAATTTACCTGAACCTGAGTTCACTGTTATTTTATTTTAATTTTAGAATTCTTTATAATTATTAAGATTTTAAGTCAACAAACAAGCATGTTCATTTCCAAAAAGTGTTGAAAAAATAATTAGTCTGTTTTTAAAGGAAAGTTTCTAGCTGTTCTACAGAGATTCAACTTCTTCATTAGTCTTAACAAGGCCAGATTCAGGTACATGCCTTGCTGGTACTGCCAGCAATATGGTCCAATGAAGAGGGTTAAATCTGGAAACAGACTCACTAGCCTGGAAGGGGTTAGATTATGAGGAAAAATTAATGTAGGTTACCCTGGGCAGAACAGTTTTTGCTACCTTGAAAACAGTTTGTACCAGGTCATCTATCTTGTGAATAAGTCATGAAATAAAAAATTAAGCTGTAGTCTCCTCTAAAAGCAGGTTGGCTTACTGGTCATCATCATTTTAGGAGAATGCCCCTAATGTGATACATAGTACAGTTCTAATCCCAAAGGGAGAGAATGGATGGTGTATGATAATACCAGTCTTTTTGAGATGAGTGGTTAGAATTCTGGAACTTCAGCAAAATCAACCTATGAACATAAATTAAAAATATATATATTGAAAGTAATGAAGACCACAACACAAGAACAGGATGCTCTAAAAAAAGAATTCAGAGAACACAGAAGGAGTTTCTAAGAATTAAGTATTTGGTAAATGAATCACAAAGCCCAAGCTTGGAAAATAACGGTGAAGAAAAGTTGCCAGAAAGAAAGGTAAGAGTACAAGAAATAAAAGAAGATGGGAAAGGTTAAAAAAAAAATTTATCACATCTTAATGTCCAAATAGGAGTTCCAGAGAAGAGAGAATCAAAAAAGAGAAAATTATCAAAAGAAGACATCAGGAAAATTTCCCAGAATTGTTTAGCATGTGCTCTGATTGAAAGCATACAGCAAGTTCCTACACAATGAGTGAACACCAATGACAAAGAGAAGATTTAAAAAGCTTTTACACTGGCAACCAAAATGGAATTTATATAAAAATGTGACAATTTGAACAAAGTTAACTTCACAACGGTAATACCAGAAGTGAGAAGATATTGCTATGATTACTTCAAAATTTTGAGGAGAAAATGATTTTCAGCTTGGAATTCTAATCTCAGCCAAATCGTCAGTTAAGTGTAGATAAAATATTTTCTGACACATAAGCTTTTTTAAAAAGACAAACAAAAAAACTTTCCAGATATTTTTTCTCAGGAAGTTAGTGGCAGACTTGCTATATCAAAACTAGGGCATAAAGAAACAAAAAAGAAAGACATTTAATTCAGGAAATGAAGTGAAGTGATCCACAGAAGATAGCATCAGGCAAACAGAAGTCACTTAGTCCAGGTTAAAGCAGTCACAGGGATCTAGAAGATATTTCTTCAAACAGAAGAAACTATTAAAATATCTAATGTATGTAACTATTTTGAGAGAATATTTAAACAAATTGGAGGAGAGTTTCAGGCTGAATTAGCAACTACTACATTAAAAACTAAGGAAGCAAAACTATGACAAGTATTAAAGAACATACTGTGTTCCATGGTTTAGTTATAAATAATATTTCATAATCAATATTATATAAACACTAATACTGATCTACTCCCAAATTAACACACATCTATCTTCAAAGGATAGGAGGATTAGGAGTGTTTCTATGTGGTGGTGGGAGCAGTGATGGAAGTGGTAATGAAGGGTGAAAGATAGCTATTTCGTAAAGGAAGTAGTTTTCTGTTGTTGCATATGAAATTACCACACACCTGCCATTTTTGCATAACTTACCAAATTTCTCAACAAAAATACCATGACACCTATTTATTATTGTGTAGTTTCTGTCAGAAGTTAGAAACTAAGCTGGGACCTCTGCTCAGAGTCTCGCAAAGCTGCAATCAAGATATTCACTGTGATGCATTCTTATCTAAAGAATGAGAATGGAAGGATCCACTTCTAAGATCCCTCAAGTTGTTGACAGAATTCATGTTCTTGCAGCTACAGAATTCAAGACAACTTGATTTTTCAAATCCAGCATGCATGCACATAATACACACACACACACACACACACACACACGAAGAGAGAGAGAGAGAGAAGTGCTCCAGTCACTTGCTTCTAGACTTTCCTTTAAAAGGCCTTTCTGATTAGGCCAGGCCCACCTAGGACAATCTTCCTTTTGGATAACAAGGATCACTCAATAGGAGCGTTAATTACATCTGCAAAATCCCCTCACTTTTGCCATATAATGTAACAAACTCAAGGAGTGATGTTCCATAAACCTTGCCATATTCTGTTGGTTAGAAGCAAGTTCCACATCCCTCCCAACTCAAAAGGAAAGGGGACACACAAGGGTGTGGATGCTAGGGGTCAGGAATCATGAGTGCCATATAGGAATTCTGCTTCCCACAGTAAGTAATCGCTAAAACTATAAAATCAAAAAGCAATATAATTGTGTGGGTGTTTTAATATGGAGGCAATATCTAAAGAATCGGCTAAAATGTATGAAAGTAATTGTCACTATAGAGAAGTATGTAGAGCAAGGTTAATTAATTTTGTAATTATTTGGCTCTTTATGTGCAGGCATATGTTGTTTCATTTTAATTGGATTTTATTTTTATCAAATGATTGTAATGTGGTAATTGTATAGAAGATGCTTAAAATTTTCTCGAATAATAAAAAGGAATGAGAGCAAAAAAAAAAAAAAAAACCAAAAAAAAACAATGGGCTGGAAAGCAATTCCTTAGAAAAGATATGGGAGTTTTTGTTGACTGTGAGCTCCAAATAAGTCAATGATGAAATATTTTTGCTATTAAAAAATTAGACACAATCTCAGGCTTCCATTCATAGAAATATGAATAAATGGGAAAAATAATTGTCCTACATTATCCTTCACTGAAAATTCCATATTCGAAATTGTGTTCATTTCTAGGTGCCTAATTTAATTCTATTTTTCTATTACTGTAACATTGATGGTTTATTTTTCTTATGGAATCAATACATAGTCTCCATAAAAAACTTTAGAAAATAGTAAAAAAGGGAAAATATGCAAAGTTGATACTTGAAAACAAATATCACAAACATTTTGGTGCTGAACTTTTAAGCTTTTTTCTCCATATAGATATATGTATATTGTATATATATACTATATACATAGTTTGGATGCTGCTTTTTTAACTTAATAGCATATTTTATACTTCTATTTCTAGCCAAGATTAAAAAACATGGACCAAAGAAACCCTCATTTTTAAAACAACTAAAAACCAGCCAACATATATGAGACAACAGTTGGGATATTGGTATCAGTCAAGAAGAGACAGTGATCCATGAGAGATAGGAAACAAACATGCGAGCCCTGTGATTTACTGTCTTACTGGGTGGAGAGAAGTTCAAAGCCACAGAACAAGGAAGACGAACTCAGGCAGAACCTGGTGATTCTTTGAATGGAACTGAGGGTTCCAAGAATCAGAGAAGCCCAGGCAGCTGGGATTTTGGGGGCAGCATTTTAGAGAAGAGTTCTTGAGAAAAGAGAACTACATATAAAGAGAACTCTTGTGATTTTCAGAGGGAGTGCCCCTACAATATTCAGCTGAACTCAAAACTGTGAGCCACAGAAAGTTCTAGGACAAGATGGCTTTGTTTATAATGCTGTCAAACATTTAAGGAAAAAAGAATAATATAAACTCACTAAAATTTTTCTATTGCATAAAAAAATAGATACATGCCAATTTATATTAAGGGCCAGCATTATCATAATAAGAAAATAAAACTACAAACAAATTATGTCATAAACACAGATACAAATTTAACTTTGCAAACTTAAATCATGTTCAGAAAATATTGTATTCATTTATTTTTTTTAATTTCTAATAATTTCAACTTTTATTTTAGATTCAGGGAGTACACGGGTAGGTTTGTTATACAAATTATCCCATCATTCAGGTAATGAACATAGTACCCAATAGGTTGTTTTTTAGCCCTTACCCTCTTTGCCCACCCCCCAGTAGTTCTCAGTGTCTATTTTTCTCGTCTTTATGTCTATAGGTACCTAATGTCTAGTTGCCATTTATAAGTGATAACGTGGTGTTTGGTTTTCTGTTCCTATGTTAATTCGCATAGGATGATGGCCTCCAGCTGCATTCACATTGTGGCTGCAAAGGACATGATTTTGTGCTTTTTTAAGGCTGTGTAGTATTTCATGGTGTATAATTATCACGTTTTCTTTATTCAATCCCCCATTGATGGGCATCTGGGCTGATTTTCTGTCTTTGCTATTGTGAATAGTGCTGTGATGAATATGTGAATGCATGTGTATTTTGTAGAAAGATTTATTTTCTTTTGGGTATACCCAGTAATAGGACTGCTGGGTTGAATAATATTTCTGGTTTTAGTTCTTTAATAAATCTCTAAACTGCTCTGCACAGTGGCTGAACTTTACATTCCAGCCAACAGTATACTCCCACCAACAGTATACAAGCATTTCCTTTTCTCCGCAGCATTGCCAGCAACTCTTATTTACATTCCCACCAACAGTATATAAGCATTCTCTTTTTGTCATATTCTTGTCAGCACCTGTCATTTTTTGGTTTTTTTTTTTTTAATAATAGTCATTCTGACTGGTGTGAGACGGTATTTCACTGTGGTTTTGAACCGCATTTCTGATGATTAGTGATGTTGAGCATTTTTTCATGTTTGTTGATTACTTGTATGTCATCTTTGAAGAAGTGTTTATTAATGTCCTGTGCTCACTTTTTAATGGGGTCATTTTTTTTTAAGTATTGAATTAAGTTCCTTGTAGATTCTGGATATGAGACCTTTGTCAGATACAAAGTTTGCAAAGATTTTCTCTCATTCTTTGGGTTGTCTGTTTACTCTGTTGATAGTTTCTTTTGCTGTGCAGAATCTCTTTAGTTTAATTAGGTCCCACTTACTAATTTTTGGTTTTGTTGCTATTTTTTTGAGGACTTAGTCATAATTTTTTTGCCAAGGTCAATGTTCAGAAGGGTATTTCCTAGTTTTTTTTCTAGAACTTTTACAATTTGAGGTCTTTTCTTTAATTATTTAATCCATCTTGAGTTGATATTTGTACACAGTGAAAAGTAGGGGCCTGGTTTCATTCTTCTACATATGGCTTGCCAGTTATTCCAGTACTGTTTATTAAACAGAAAGTGTTTTCTCCTTTGCTTATTTTTGTTGACTTTGTTGAAGACCAGATTGGTTTCAGCTTACTTCTGGGTTCTCTATTCTGTTCCACTGGTCTATGTGTCTGTTTTTGTACCAGTACCATACTGTTTCGGTTATTATAGCCTTATAGTATAGTTTGAAGCCAGGTAATGTGATGTCTCCAGCTTTGTTCTTCTTATTTAGGATTCCTTTAGCTCTTGGACTCTTTTTTAGTTTTATCAAAAAGCATTTTGAAAGATAATACATCTTGACCAAGGCAATTAGCCAAGGAATACAAATGGTGTTTAACATTAAAAATAAATCAAAGTAATTTATCCTATTAATATTTTTTTAAAAAGGAAACCATATGGTATCTCAAGAGATATAGAAAAAAAATCTATGAACATTATCCAACATTCATTCTTGATAAAAGCACTCAGCAGACTAAGACTTAGAGATACTTGTTTTTGAACCAAATAAAGTACACCTATGAAAAACTACAGCTAAAATCATAATTAATAGTGAAAAATTAAATATTCTTCCCTGAAGATTAGAAACAAGATAAATATTTCTGCTTTCACCATTTCTATTCAACAGGATTAAGGTAGCTCCAGTTAGTGCAATACAGAAAATAAATAAATAAATAAATAAATAAATAAATAAATGGCATTCACGTTTGGAAAGAGGAGGTAAAACTATTTTTAAAAAGTTTTTTTCATGACCCTATTGTCAGTGTAGAAAGTCCTATTGAATTCACCATAAAAATCCTCAAAAAACCTACTATAAGTAATAAATGAATTTATTCAGGTTGTAGAATTCAGATCAATATACTAAAAATCAACATCTGTACACTTGTATATCTAAAGTAAGAAGACCTAAATTCACAAATCAGATGATGGGATATTGTTAAAATGTCCATTTTCCCCAAATTAATCTGTAGAGTCAATATAATCCCATTCAAAATCCCAGCAGGTATTTTGTTTTAAAAATTGACAAGCTTTTTCTAAAATTTATATGGAAATTTAAAGGACTCAGAGAAACCAAAACAAATTTGAAAAAGAAGCACAAAGTTGGAGGACTTCAAGCTTTTAGAATCTACAGCAGTCAAGCCAGGGCCAAGGTTAGATGAGGCAGGCAAGCTGCCTATGGCACAACATTTGAAGGAGGGTTCATCCATATGCTGGCACCTGCTCAAACCTGAGAGTGAATACCTCCTTAAATGTTGTGCCCTGGGCAGCCTATTGCCTCACTTTAATCTTGGCCCTCATCAAGTAGGTGTTGTATTGGCATCAAATCAACAACTAGGTAAAGGCCATGCAGTCATTGCATTGAAATACACAAATAGATTAATGGAACAGAAGAATGAGTTCAGTAATAATCCCACACACATTTGGTAAATTGATTCTCAGCAGAGGTGAAAAGGCAATTTAATGTAGAGTAGACATGTCTTCAAAAACAATATAAATACGATCAAAAAGCACATGAGAAGATACTCATCATTATTAACCTTCAGGGAAATGCAAGTTAACAAGGAGATCCTACTTCACACACACTAGGATGACTATAATCAAAGAGATGGATATAACAAGCATTGGTGAGGAAGTGAAAAAATTGGAACTATCATACATAGCTGTTAGAAATATCAAGTGGTGCAGCCAATGTGGAGAACATTTGGGCAGTTCTCAATAATTTCAACATGAACATTTTCAGAATAAGCAAATCTACAGAGACAGAAAGTAGATGGAAAGTTGTCTGTGTCTCAGGGTAAGAGGGTTTGGGGGAAAATCTGGAGTGACAGCTAATGGGTATATGGTATTTTGGGGAGGGAGCATACAAATGTTACAAAATAATTGTAGATATATGAGTTTGTTAGGGCTGCTGTAAAAATGTACCACATACTGGATGGCTTAAACAACAGAAAATTATTGTCTGATAATTCTGAAGGCCAGAACTCTTAGATCAATGTGTCAGTAGGGCTAGATCCTTCTGAAGTTCTCTGATGGAAAAATCTGTTCTAGGCCTCCATCCTTGGCTTGTTGAGGTCCATTTTTTCCCTTGGTCCCTTCATATCTTCTTCCATCTATGAATTTATCTGTGTTCAAATTTTCCCTTTTTGTAAGAACACCAGTTATATTGGATTAGGGCCCACTCTAATTACCTCACTTTAACTTGATTATCTTTGTAAAGACTATTTCCAAATAAGGGCACATTTGAGATACTGGAGGTTAAGAGTTCACCATTTGAATTTTGGAAGAAACAATTCGATCCCTAATAGTAGTGATGGTTGCACAGCTTTGATTATTTTAAAAACCATTGAAACATACACTTTATTTTTTTTAATTTTAATTTTATTTTAAGTTCCAGGTTACATGTGCAGGATGTGCAGGCTTGCTACATAGGTAAACAAGTGCCATGGTTTCCTGCACCTATCAACCTATCACCTAGGTATTAATCCCAGCATGCATTAGCTATTTATCCTGATGCTCTCCATCCCCCCACCCTACCACCCTACAGGCCCCAGTGTGTGTTGTTCCCTCCATGTGTCCATGTGTTCTCATTAAAACCATATATTTTAAATTGGTGAATTATATGGTACGTAACTCATATCTCAATACAGTTGTTATGTAAATAATAAAAATATAAAACAATTGTTAAAAAAATCTATCAGATAACTAATTCTTAAAAAGGCAAAAGTTTGGGGTGTGGGCACAGCTTCAGCAGAATTAAACGTTCCTGCCTGCCAGCTCTGAAGAGAGCAGCAGATCTAGCAGATCTCCCAGCACAGTGCTCAACCTCTGCTAAGGGACAGACTGCCTCCTCAAGTGGGTCCCTGACCCCCGTGCCTCCTGACAAGGAGACACCTCCCAGCAGAGGTCGACAGACACCTTATACAAAACAGCTCCAGCTGGCATCTGGCAGGTCCCCCTCTGGGACGAAGCTTCCAGAGGAAGGAGCAGGCAGCAATCTTTGCTATTCTGTAGCCTCCACTGGCGATATGCAGACAAACAGAGTCTGGGGTGGATCCCCAGCAAACTCCAGCAGACCTGCAGAAGAGAAGCCTGACAGTCAGAAGGAAAACTAACAAACAGGAAGGAATAGTATCAACATCAACAAAAAGGATGTCCACACAAAACCTCACCCAAAGGTCACCAACATCAAAGACCAAAGGTAGCTAAATCCACGGAGGTGAGGAAAAACCAGCGCAATAAGGCTGAAAATTCCAAAAACCAGAATGCCTCTTCTCCTCCAGAAGATCACAACTCCTCACCAACAAGGGAACAAAACAGGACAGAGAATGAGTTTGATGAATTGACAGAAGTAGGCTTCAGAAGGTGGGTGATAACAAACTCCACTGAGCTAAAGGAGCATGTTCTAACCCAATGCAAGGAAGCTAAGAACCTTGATAAAAGGTTAGAGGAATTGCTACCTAGAATTACCAGTTTAGAGAAGAACATAAATGACCTGATGGAGCTGAAAAACACAGCACAAGAACTTCGTGAAGCATACACAAGTATCCATAGCCGAATCAATCAAGCGGAAGAAAGGATATCAGAGTTTGAAGCTCAACTTAATCAAATAAAGCATGAAGACAAGATTAGAGCAAAAAAACATAAAAAGGAACGAACAAAGCCTCCAAGAAATATGAGACTACATGAAAAGAACAAACATATGTTTGATTGCTGTACCTGAAAGTGATGGGGAGAAAGGAACCAAGTTGGAAAACACACTTCAGGATATTATCCATGAGATCTTCCCCAACCTAGAAAGACAGGCCAACGTTCAAAGTCAGGAAATACAAAGAACACCACAAAGATATTCCTTTAGAAGAGCAACCCCAAGAGACATAATCATCAGATTCACCAAGGTGGAAATGAAGGAAAATTGTTATGGGCAGCCAGAGAGAAAGATCAGGTTAACCACAAAGGGAAGCCCATCAGACTAACAGCGGATCTCTCTCCAGAAACCCTACAAGCCAGAAGAGAGTGGGGGCCAATATTCAAAATCCTTGAAGAAAAGAATTTTCAACCCAGAATTTCATATTCAGCCAAACTAAGCTTCATAAGTGAAGAAGAAATACAAACAAGGAAATGCTGAGGGATTTTGGTACCACCAGACCTGCCTTACAAGAGCTCCTGAAGGAAGCACTAAATATGGAAAGGAAAAACCATTACCAGCCACTGCAAAAACAAACCAAAATGTAAATACCATCAACACTATGAAGAAACTGCATCAACTAATGGGCAAAATAACCAGATAGCATCATAATAACAGGAACAAATTGACACGTAACAATATTAACCTTAAATGTAAATGAGCTAAATGAGTTAAAAGGCACAGACTGGAAAATTGGATAGAGTCAAGACCCGTCAGTGTGCTGTATTCGGGAGACCCATCTCACCTGCAAAGACACACATAGGCTCAAAATAAAAGATGGAGGAAGATTTACCAAGCAAATGGAAGGCAAAAAAAATCAGGGGTTGCAATCCCAGTCACTGATAAAACAGATTTTAAACCAACAAAGATCACAAGAGACAAAGATGTGCAATACGTAATGGTAAAGGGATTGATGCAACAAGAAGAGCTAACTATCCTAAATATATATGCACCCAATAGAGGAGCACCCAGATTCAGAAAGCAAGTTCTTAGAGACTTACAAAGAGACTTAGACCCCCACACAATAACAGGAGGAGATTTTAACACATCACTGTCAATATTAGACAGATCAATGAGACAGAAAATTAACAAGGATATTCAGGATTTGAACTCAGCTCTGGACCAAGTGGACCTAGTAGACATCTACAGAACTCTCCACCCCAAATCAACAGAATATACATTCTTCTCAGTACTGCACTGCACTTGTTCTAAAATTGAACACATAATTGGATATAAAACACTCCTCAGCAAATGCAAAAGAATGGAAATCATAACAGTTTCTCAGACTACAGAGCAATCAAATTAGAACTCAGGATTAAGAAACTCACTCAAAACTGCACAACTACATGGAAGCTGAACAACCTGCTCCTGAATGACTACTGGGTAAATAACGAAATTAAGGCAGAAATAAATAAGTTCTTTGAAACCAATGAGAACAAAGACACAATGTACCAGAATCCCTGGGACACAGCTAAAGCAGTGTTTAGAGGGAAATTAATAGCACCAAATGCCCACAGGAGAAAGCGAGAAAGATCTAAAATCAACACCCTAACAATTAAAAGAACTAGAGAAGCAAGAACAAACAAATTCAAAAGCTAACAGAAGACAGGAAATGACTAAGATCAGAGCAGAACTGATGGAAATAGAGTCATGAAAAACCCTTCAAAAAAATCAATGAATACACGAGGTGGTTTTTTGAAAAGATTAACAAAATAGATAGACCCCTATCCAGACTAATAAAGAAAAGAGAGAAGAATCAAATAGATGCAATAAAAAATGATAAAGGGGATATCACCACTGATCCCACAGCAATACAAACTATCATCAGTGAATAGTATAAACACCTCTACACAAATAAACTAGAAAATCTACAAGAAATGGATAAATTTCTGGACACATACACCCTCCCGAGACTAAACCAGGAAGAAGTCAAATCCCTGAATAGACCAATAACAAGTTCTGAAATTGAGGCAGTAAGTAATAGCCTATCAACCAAAAAAAAAAAGCCCAGGATGTGACAGACTCACAGCCGAATTCTACCACAGGTACAAAGAGGAGCTGGTACCATTCCTTCTGAAACTATTCCAAACAATAGAAAAAGAGGGACTCCTCCCTAACTCATTTTATGAGGCCAGCATCATCTTGATACAAAAACCTGGCAGAGACACACACACAAAAAAATTTCAGGCCAATATCCCTGATGAACATTGATGTGAAAATCCTCAATATAATACTGGCAAAGTGAATCCAGCAGCACATCAAAAAGCTTATTCACCACGATCAAGTGGGCTTCATCCCTGGGATGCAAGGCTGGTTCAACATACGCAAATCAGTAAACATAATCCATCACATAAACAGAACCAATGACAAAAACAACATGATTATCTCAATAGAGGTAGCAAAGGCCAAAGGCCTTCAATAAAATTCAACACCCTTTCATGCTAAAAACACTCAATCAACTAGGTATTGAAGGAACATATCTCAAAATAACAAGAGCTATTTATGACAAACCCACAGCCAATATCATACTGAATGGCCAAAAGCTGGAAGCATTCCCTTTGAAAACTGGCACAAGACAAGGATGCCCTCTCTCACCACTCCTATTCAACATAGTATTGGAAGGGCTGGCCAGGGCAATCAGGCAAGAGAAAGAAATAAAGGTATTCAAATAGGAAGGGAGGAAGTCAAATTGTCCCCGTTTGCAGATGACATGATTGTATATTTAGAAAATCCCATCTTCTCATACCAAAAACTACTTAAGCTGATAAGCAACTTCAGCAAAGTCTCAGGATACAAAATCAATGTGCAAAAATCACACGCATTCCTATACACCAATAATAGAGAGCCAAATCATGAGCAAACTCCCATTCACAATTGCTACAAAGAGAATAAAATACCTAGAAATACAACTTACAAGGGATGTGAAGGACCTCTTCAAGGAGAACTATAAACCACTGCTGAGGGAAATAAAAGAAAACAGAAACAAATGGAAAAGCATTCCATGCTCCTGGATAGGAAGAACCAATATCATGAAAACGGTCATACTGCCCAAAGTAATTTATAGATTCAATGCTGTTCGCATTAAGTTACCATTGACTTTCTTCACAGAATTAGAAAAAACTATAATTTTATATGGAACCAAAAAAGGCCTGTATAGCCAAGACAATCCTAAGCAAAAAGAACAAAGCTAGAGGCTTCATGCTACCATGCTACCTGACTTCAAACTATACTACAAGGCTACAGTAACCAAAACAGCATGGTACTGGTACCAAAACAGATGTACAGACCAATGGAACAAAACAGAGGCCTCAGAAATAACACCACACATCTACAACCATCTGATCTTTGACAAACCTGACAAAAACAAGCAATGGGGGAAGGATTCCCTATTTAATAAATGGTGTTGGAAAAACTGGCTATCCATATGCAGTAAACGGAAATTGGACCACTTCCTTATACCTTATACAAAAAAAAAAAACTCAAGATGAATTAAAGATTTAAACCTAAGACCTAAAACCGTAAAAATCCTAGAATAAAACATAGGCAATACCATTCAGGACACAGGGATGGGCAAAGATTTCATGACCAAAACACCAAAAGCAATTGCAACAAAAGCCAAAATTGACAAATGGGATCTAATTAAACTAAAGAGCTTTGGCCCAACAAAAGAAACTATCCTGAGAGTGAACAGGCAACCTACAGAATGGTAGAAAATTTTTGCAATCTATCCATCTGACAAAGGTCTAATGTCGAGAATCGACAAGGTACTTAAGCAAGTTTACAAGAAAAAAACAACCCCATCAGAAAGTGAGTGAAGGATATGAACAGGCACTTCGCAAAAGAAGACATTTATGTGGCCAAAAAACATATGAAA
The DNA here is from genome assembly GCF_000001405.40 of Homo sapiens. Classification (NCBI taxonomy): domain Eukaryota; kingdom Metazoa; phylum Chordata; class Mammalia; order Primates; family Hominidae; genus Homo; species Homo sapiens. The sequence goes on along the minus strand of NC_000003.12, from coordinate 106,219,173 downwards.
AAAAGCTCATCATCACTGGTCATTAGAGAAATGCAAATCAAAACCACAATGAGATACCATCTCATGCCAGTTAGAATAGCAATCATTAAAAAGTCAGGAAACAACTGATGCTGGAGAGGATGTGGAGAAATAGGAATGCTTTTACACTCTTGGTGGCAGTGTAAATTAGTTCAACCATTGTGGAAGACAGTGTGGTGATTCCTCAAGGATCTAAAACCAGAAATATCATTTGACGCAGCAATCCCATTACTGGGTATATACCCAAAGGATTATAAATCATTCTACTATAAAGACACATGCACACGTATGTTTATTGCAGCACTATTCACAATAGCAAAGACTTGGAACCAACCCAAATGCCCACCAATGTTAGACTGGCTAAAGAAAATGTGGCACATATACACCATGGAATACTATGCAGCCATAAAAAAGAACGAGTTCATGTCCTTTGCAGGGACATGAATGAAGCTGGCAGCCATCATTCTCAGCAAACTAACACAGGAACAGAAAACCAAACACCACATGTTCTTACTCATAAGTGGGAGTTGAACAATGAGAACACATGGGCACAGGAAGGGGAACATCACACACTGGGGCCTGTCAGGGGTTGGGAGGCCAGGGGAGGGAAAGGAATTGGAGAAATACCTAATGTGGATGATAGGTTGATGGGTGGAGCAAACCACCATGGCACATGTATACCTATGTAACAAACCTGCACATTCTGCACATGTATCCCAGGACTTATAGTATAATTTTTAAAAAAGGCAAAACCTTAAGAGACGCCTCACTAAAGGAGACCCAAGAACTGTAAAAATATCAAACAGTTTCAAAATTATTAATCATTAGGGAAATTCAAATCATTAGGGAAATTCATTATGTGATACCAATGTAAACCAAATAAAATGACTAAATTTTAAAGACTGACAGTACAAAATAATAGCAAAGATAACAAACAATTAGAACTCTCATGTATTACTTATCAAAATTTTACAGGCACTTTGGAAAAGAATTAGTCAGTTTCATATAAAATAGAACATACAATTCCATTCCTACATATTTACTAGTTTTGTCTAGCTTTTGTCCCTAGTTTCAAGGAAGGAGCCTCTAAATCCTGAGAATGTCCTAGTGGCAGGAGTATCTTTGTTTTTCAGGGTAGGACTCTCAGACCACACTTCTTGAGATTATGCTAATGAAGTGACTTATCGTGGGTCCTAGATGGTTGCACAATAGGGGCTAGTTATGCTGGAAAGACCAACCATGTGATTAGAGCTTTCAGGGTTTGGAGCTATGTGATATAAGCTCAAACTCCCAACCTCTAGGGATGAAGGGAGCCTGAAGATTGAATTCAATTATATAACCAAGGATTCAGTCAATCATGCCTACTTACTGAAACCCCACTAAAAATTCTGAACACCCGAAGCTCACATGTCACCTGGACACCTGAAATTACCATCAATGGTTGGTGAAACACACTGAGGCCCCGGGAAGGTAATGCATCTGGGGACATGGAAAGTTCACGTTTGGGACTCTTCCAGACCTTGCCTTATATGATTTTTCCTTGGCTTGTTCTTATTCATATCCTTTTGCTATAATAAAAGTATAAGTATAGTGATTTCTTGAGCTCTGTGAGTCATTCTACGTAATTACTCAACATGAGGGGTGGTAGTAGAAACCCTAAATTTATAGTCAGTTGGTCAAAAGTGTAGGTAAACCACACTTTTTGGGAATCCTCTAATTTGTTCCTAAAGTGAGTGCAGTCTTGTCAAGGACTGTGCCCTTAATCTGTGAAGTTTGACCTGATTCTGGGTAGTTAGTGTTAAAATTGCATTAGGCCTAAGAAAAATAAAAACATATTCACATAAGACATTACCTGGATGTTCATAGCAGCTGTATATAAAATGACCCAAAACTGTAAATAACCCAAATATCCATACATAATGGAAGAATTGTAAAATAGTGGTATATCTATTCAATGCAATATTACGAGGTAGGAAAAGTCAGTTGATTATTGATATACGGGACAAATTAACAGATTTCAAAGGCATTGTGCCAAATAAAATAAGCTAGACAGAAGATGAATATTCTCTGGTTTGATTTATATGAATTCTAATGACAGCAGTAGATCATTAGTTACCAGGAGTTAGGAATAGAGGAAGGATATTTATTTGTAAAGAGGATTGAGGGAACTTTGTGGAGTGCTGGAAATACTTTATGTCATAACTGGTGTGGTGGTTGTAAGGCTTCATATACTATCTTGGTTCCAATGTCACACAAGGTGTAATAAACAATACCAGTCTCATAATGTAGATGTAACTCTAAAGAAAACTGTTAAATTTATTTATTTGGAGGTTATGTAGATATGTTTATTGTGTGAAAATTCATCAGAATGTATCTTGATTATTAATCCAAATGTTGGTATATATTTTTGATATATGCTCTATTTCATTAAAGTAGTTCATGTTTTTAAAATGTTATTTATTGTTTTTCCCTTGGTAGTGCTTTAGAGTTTCCTTTTTGTAGATGTTACACATTTCTTCTTGAGTGTATTTCTAGCCATTGTATGGTTTTCCTGATATTTTAATAGAAACTCCTTCATTATATTTTTCTACTTTATATTTGACATGTGCAAAACTACTAAAAAAATAATAATTTTGAAATTAACTATTTTTCTGAATATTGGAAATTGTTGGAAATTGTCTATTTCTAATCTTTCCAACTAGACATTTTTAGGTTTTCCATATATGCTACCAAACTATTGGTAAATAATGATAATTTCCTTGGCTTTTTTAACAAATGTTTATGGTTCTTGTTTCCCTTTTCTTATCAATTTCAAAGTTTTAGGACTATGAAAACTGGTAGTAGTAATATCTTACACTCTTCTCAACCTTCTTACTTGAATGAGAATTCTTCCAGTACTCAAATCTGAAATATGATGTTGGTAAGTTTAAAATGTACATCGGTCAGGTTGAAGAATAATCTTTTTCTTCTATTTTCATCAGATTATAAAATCAGAAATATGTATTGGACATTATCAAATGCATTTATTATAAAATCTTATTATTTTCCTCTTTGGGTAAATTACTATTTTGTATTATTGTAATTGATATTTTTAGTGATCCATCTTTATATTCCTGAATAAATTTCATTTGGTATTAGTGTATTAATATTCTGTAAAAAATTAGCTGGGTGTGGGGGCACATGTCTGTAATCCCAGCTACTCGGGAGGCTGAGGCAGGAGAATCCCTTGAACCTGAGGTTGCAGTGAGCTGAGATCGTGCCATGGCACTCCAGCCTGGGTGACAGACCAAGACTCCATCTCAAAAAAAAAAAAAAAAAGTGTTTTGTTTACCATGTAAGCATCTTTAATCTGTAGTTTCTTTTTTCTATGATTTCTTAATCAAATTCAGAATGCAGGCTGATTTCTTATTTAAAAAAGTGGCACTTTTATTTTGTTCTCCATGTTTTACTAACATTGGCAATATCTGGTCTTTGAGGGTTTAAAATAACTTTCCCATGAAAGCTTTGGATCTCAAACTCAAGTGATTAGATGAGAGGTTTAGAAATTATGTTCTGTTGGGGAACCAGCTCCATCATGTTGGTTCTGAAGGATCAGAAACCAATGGGTTGAATTTACTGGGGAGCAAATTTTAACTCAACCTATGATACCCTCTTTACAATTAAAATAGTCTTAAAATGGTAAGAGAATTTTACAGAGCAGTGCATAGAAGAAGTTTATGCCTTCCTGGACAAAAGAAGTTGAATGATAGAGCTTTTATCTAAACTCCTTTTTCTTGTATCTCATTCAGTACCATTCAAATGTCATCCTCATTTGCAACTTTTTAGTGATAGGGCTTCGAAGAACACTCTCTCTCTTAGGGTCTCATTCTCCAAGGCCACAGCAGGCCCTGAGTCATCCTCACTATGAGTGTAGCCCACAGATATGTTCCCTGAAGAGAAACCAAAGAGCTCAGCATAGCAAATGTTCACCCACAGGGATGAAACAAGCCCTAACCCACAGAATTAAGCTGTAGGTTGTAGAAGCCAGAGGAAAAGTTTACCTGGGTGCCAACATTGAAGATCTGCTGAAGCAGATAGAAATGAGAGAATCAGAACAGAACTTCAACACAGCTCTATCAGAGAAAGAATAAAATGCAGAGATCAACAAAGTCCCATTCAAACTTATGTTAAAAACGCAAAATGCTATTAATTGAATTTATTGTACATTTGGCTCCCAACAGATCACATTTTGGTCCTTAATCCTGTTAAAAGATAAACTTAGGCACATTACAAGTTTAAAAAATTTGAGCATTCAGCAATTCATGAATTGGGCAGCATCAGATGGCAAGTAATTCATCACTCCACTAAGAAGGAGAGAGGGGAAACATTATAAGGTCTTTACAGAACAAAGACAAAGAAAATATTTGACCGGCCAAAGAAGAAAGTCCGTAGTTAAAAGCTGGCAATTTCTGATTGGTTAAGCTTAAGTTTCATTTTACTGTTTACATTGAATTCGGTTTTTGTTTACTTAAGTAGGAACCCAAGCCAGTGGAGCCATCTCAGCCTAATGACCTTCCAATTAATTATTTTAACAATACAGAATGCTTCATATAATACCAATATAAAATAATAGTTATACAATGCAGATGCTAAAATGTATTGAAGAGCAGTGATAGCTGATCATAACACATTTAGAATTCAGCAACTCATAGGAGAACGTGTTACTTTACTTTCTCATTGGGTTGACTTCCTGTCCATTCAGTATCATCTTAGATGGAAAACTGAAAATTATTTCTTACTTGGTCTGACTCTCTTTCCACTCTCTTTTCTACCTTCTTCTCTTTCAGCTCCCAGACTTCATCCTGCTTCAGCTCCTGTCATCCTGTGCTGTGGAATTCCTAAACCTCTTAGCTTGAGCCCTGCAACGATCTGATTTTCACTCCGTTCTAGGAAGGTTCCATTCTTCAGTGTGGAGCACATATAAGTAAGTGTCTATTTTTGACTAAAAGAGATTGCCTCTCATAGCGAAACCTTGTTATGTTGTTACACAAAAGTCCTCTTCACTAGCCATGAGGATGGACAAATATGAAGGCTGCCTCTTTCTGCAATAATAGCATGTAACACCCCACCCTACTTTGGTTACCCTTTGAATTTGCTACTTTGAATTTTTTCCACGCACAGTGATCATGAGGCAAATACTTTAACTAGAATGACACAGTCAGATTAAAAAAAGAAAAAAGAGGACAATGGCACACATAGAATTCACCTTAAACTTACTATGTCACCAAAACCTCTAAGTACAATTTTAAAAAAAGTTCTGTCACCATTTTCACCCACTCTGTGACAGCTACTAAATACACCGTAGGTATAAGATGAGAGAAAAGGGATAAAAGCCATAGCAATAACTTTTTCTTTTTTAAAAATACAGTACACTAATTGGGAGATATATAGATTAGTCTTCTGCATGCATATTTCTTTTAAGTATAACATTAACGAATAGCATTGCTTATCTACATATAAGTTTCAATCCAAAAGCATTTATTAGCCTCTCATTCTTCCTCTGGTACCTTCCCCAACTAGATTTCTAATTTAATTTATAGTTTAGTAATTATTACCTTGTTTCTTTTATGAAATTTCTGTCTTCACTGGTCAAGAAAAAAAATCAGAAACTAAAGATTTTGTACATAGAAATAGTGTGAGAGCTATACCACATACTACTAAGAACTCTACTGGGATTATTACTTCAGTAGTGGGAGAAAAATAAAAACATACCACTGCTATAATTTCTCTTTGAGTCCCCAATATTACATATTTTGTATTAAGGGACACTATCCAATTTATTCAATAGTTATAATTCATTGACTAAGAAGATAAAATCCACTAAAAATGAGTAAAAATTAATGTTAAAAACTGGCCAAGAAGTTTGACGGCCCCTCACTTTGGAAATTCTTTTTCTATATGAGTGCTCAGCCTTAATATTATGTATTAACATGAAGGTAGAGAGCAATCAAATACAAATCTATTTCATGGCAGGACTACCAGTACAATAAAATTTAATGGCTATCTTTAAAGGTTTTGGTATGAGTCATTCTGGGAAAAAATGTTTCAATTTACTTTTCAAGCTTCTGCCTAAAAGGCAGAGAGGAAAACTCACTCTGTCCTCAAAAATCAAGGAAAGTAGTTTAGTAGGCAGAGTACTTGTCATTTGACCCAAAAAACCTCATATTTTTACCAGAGTCAAGATAGAAAAAGATCAATTCAGTCTTTTAAAGAAGCAATGACTCAGAAGACCAATCACATCAGGACAGGACCTGCTGTTCAAACTGCTTAGATTTTACAAGGTGCTATTAGGTATACTTAAAGTTGATTGGCCTATAAATTGGCAACAAAAAATCCCTTGTGGTATTTCAACAAAAGAAGATATTTCTGTGAGTTTTACATGGCTCTCTCTTGGAGAGAGTGGTGAGGAAATTGCGCTTCAGTTCTGTTTCTTCATTCTCTTTTCTACTAGTAGTTTTAGCTCTGTGAGTTTCCTTCTTCAACTAGAAAAAGACAATTGGATTTATCATTACTAGCTCTAATTTTTAAAAAGACCTATAAAGCAAGGTCCTCTTTTCATTGTGACCACTGTTTAATTGATCTTTTCTATATACAACTGAAGTTTTTTTTTGCTGAAGTGTATATGACATGTTTCTTCCACTCAGGTTAAATGTTCTGCTCTCCAGGATAAATGGGAAAATATAAGACTGGAATCAAGCATTAATCCTGAGTGGTTTAGGTATAATATAATTAAAATGTATATGTATCAAAAATATTGATAAAAGCTCTCATTCTTGGAGATTAAATAATGTGTTTGGATGTGATTTTAGTTGTTTGTTTAATAGAAAAATAAATTTATAGCTTACTTTTAGAGATTTTTAGGCAAATAGTATAAGATAGAGATATAAAGTTCAGGCTTTGAAATAGAAAGACTGAGATTAGAATTTTAATTTTACCATTATTAGCCTAAGTTTTTTCATCTGAAAAATAGAGATAATACAAACATTAGATTTTGTTGAAATTGATGAACAAATGTAAATTGTAAACAATTGGTGAAGCAACAAATGTAAAATGTAAAAAGATGAACATCAATTGTAAAAAGTTGATAAACTAACAAAAGTAAAAAAAATGAACTAACATAGTGCTTTATGTGTAGGAGTTTCAATAAATACTATTATAATCAAAGCAAGCTGTCAGAGACCATCATTGCTTTTATCTGAACAGAGCAAAATATCAACTGCTAGAGCTCTCAGATTCTTCCAAGATCCATCCTGTGCAATTTTCAGCAGTTTGCAACCCAGTCACAGGCTTCCTTTTTCACTGGACCTTAGAATCCATTCAGATCTCAACTTGCACAGGGCCACACACCCCCTGCAAAGATGCCTGAGCTAAATTTCTACTAGCCTCAGCAACCTTACACCAATGCTATCCTCGAGCATTGAACAGTTCTCTGGACACCTGCAGCGAAGGTAGTTTTCAGCAGTTCTGGTTGAAAATCATTTTCACATTTCCATTATTTCGGGATTTTGTCTGGTTATTATCTCAGTGCCCCTCCTATCATGGTATTCTTATTTTTCATGTTCTTGACTCAATTACTTCCTTCCAAGTATTTCCATTGCACTGACTGAAAATGCATACAGTTCTATTTTCCTTTTTACTACCATTTATCGATTTCCTGGAGTCTCATTTATATTTATTGAAATACATGAATCATGTCTCATAATTTATCTCACTTACATGGTATCATGCAACTTGGAAGTAGAGATCATAAACTAGTTTCTAAGGATTCTGTCATCCTGAGTACTTTCCATTTCTACCTAGATGACCTACTTGATAAAACGGCTTCACTATTTCTTGAAGTCTACTAACTCCATTCAACTTCACCCATGCCTGCACACAAACTGGAACCCAGATTTTCTTATTACCTTTCCCTAGCATTCTTTCTACTTCACAAAGTTGCCTGTCTCCAAAAGCAGTGGCCGATTAAATGAAACCATATATGTTAGGCAACTAGCTCTGTTTCTGGCATGTTAAACAGCAGCTAAAAATAAACTAGTCAACTTTTCCCTCCAGTCTCAATTTCGGTAGGTGAACATATTCCTCCATGCAACCTTAAATTACATATTTAAATGATACTACTCAGAATGTCATATATCATGTAGGAAATTGTAAACTTGCCATTACAAATAATAGACTATACTCAAAACAAAACAGTTATTATCCATTCACGCATATCATGCTTATGTCTGTTTCTTTTCTTTTGTGAAAATAACTTCTTACTTTTCAAAATATGTGATTATGCAAAAGTTTCAAGCAAAATTTTCATATTTACCTTCAACAAATAGATCCTGTACTGAGTCATTCTGGGGGATTAAATAATGTTTGGATGTGATTTGTAGTTGTTTACTTCAATCGAAAAAATAATTTGTAATGTTTACTTTTAGAATCAAAGTTAGAAATATCCTTTAAAGTTCATCTAGACCTGTTCAGTGTTCTAAAACAGTGACAAGATGGTCTTTAAAATGAAGATCTGTACCAGTGACAATAGCCTGTTTCCTCCCAAAATCTTTCAGCGTAACACTGCAAAGAGCATTAGTAGAAAGGAAAATACCTAATTTCTACTCTCTGATGTAATCTTCATCTTTATGTGAAGAGCACAAAGATGACTTAGTGTTGCCACAAGAGTGTTCCCATCATATCTCTCAAGGGATGATAAACGTCAGTTGTACTCACCCCGAATTATATTATTTTTGGCTTCCTTCATAAATCAAACCTGAAACACTATTGATGTGTTATTATAAAAGAAAATATATAAACTAGGGAAAATATTAGCAAATTGGAAATTCTCAGCATATTGCAATATGTTTAAATGCCTCACTAGAGACTTACCTGGAATTCATGTTATTATGATTTGTTTTTATGTTCTTGTTTTCTATTCATCGCCTATTGATCGATTGACATTTCTCAGTCATTGAAAGGCCTTGCTCCTGCTCATGCTCGAAGCATGAGGAGAAAACAAACAGCAATTCACCATTCTTCTTGTTTTTCTACCTAATAGAAGGTAATGGGTTTTTCTAGAAAACTGGTTCTTGCTGGCTAACTTTCTACCTAAACGCCATGAGCTTTCTTTTAATCTTTAAGGCTCATATAATTGTATATTCAGTAGGATAAAAAAATTTGAATGCTTTTGATGGACTTCCAAGGACATGAACTCAGGGATATTATTGATGTTTTCATCTTTGCCATATCCCTGATTCCTTTGTACCTTGTACATGCTTTTGACATCTTTAATGACCACTAAAATCTCTTCAAATACAGTACATTAATTATATGTATATTCCAATACATTTGGTTTTTTTATGGCTATTGAAATACTGCATGTTGACGTGGACAATAAAAGTCAAATGGGCATTTTTTTCTCATGGTCTAATAATAGTGAAACAAGAAGTTACCACTACAATTTTAATTGTTTAAAGTTACAAATTGCATGCCTTACATTCCACTTAGGCAGTCAACATTTGTAGAAACTATTAAAGTCATTGTTATAGTGAATTTTTAACTTTGAATATATATAAGGAGAAATAAAACAACCAGTGAAAACATATACAAAGGTAACTCTTGGCTGTCTTTCTGCCCTGTTCACATCTTCCTTAGCACCTAAGAAAGTAAAGTAAGCTATATGGAATTTGTGCCCCTGTAGGTAAAGCATGAAGAAAAATTCTCTCTCAGTCTCCAAGGGATAAAATAATGTTTGAGAGAAAATATATAAAACTCTCTCTAATACCTCAAAGTAACTGAGCAAATTTTTCTTACTTTTCTTCTCCTTTAGTTCAGATTTTTTGAAAGAAAAGTTAATCAAACTAGGAATTATATAGTGAAAAACAATTACGTTTTTCACTTAAATGATTTTAGCTACTACAAATTCATCATGTTACCTCTAGTATGTATCACTGCACTGACATTCCCAGCAGATGGCAATGTTAAGACTTAATGTTATTGTTTGATTTATTATAGGTATGCATCTATATTGGAGAAATGAATGCTAAACAAACGAGGTATTTGTTAATAAAATTTATTTCATTCTCCCTTTTTTCTTTGTTGAATTTATACATGTTTATATCATTTTTTAAAATTAAGTTTGGCATTAACTTCAAAGAAAGTAATGGTTATTATTCAAAGAAAACCACTTAGTAATATCATTGTTACCAGTGGTTAGAAAAGCCTCTTTTGAAGTAACTGACTCTTGAAAGCCTTAGGAAGCACTTAATATAAAATAAGATTTATATACAGTCCTGTAACACATAATAAAATAAAAACACAGGAGCTAATTAGAGATTGCTTATTAAGAATACCAGAAACAAGGAAATATGAAAAATTATCTGCAAGAACTATGTTCCCAAGACTTGAATACTATTAAGAAAGTGAAATGTAAAAAAAAAAAATTACTTACATAAAACAAAGGTGATAAAAAAAGATAAAAGAAAAACAAAGAGAATCGGTTAGTCAAGTCTTTTCTACCTTAAGTTTATTTCTCTGGCCAGCAGAAGAGTTCCCCTGCAAAATGATTATGATTTCTGTTTGTTTTGGTATTTAGTAAGCAACTGTTCCCAAGATAAGATTATGATTTACACCAGTACTTCTTAAAATGTGGGTCTGCGGAATGGTGTTGCTCCACAAATTATGTGCTACAAGTCAGAAACAAAGTCAGTTATAAATTTAGAACAAGCAGTCATAGCAATTTGGCAGCGTAACTTTGTTGAATCTGAGAGTAAAAAAACTAGGATATATATTTTGTATTTCTCCGTTTTATTCCATTTTTCTGGTAATTTATTTTTAAAGTATTTTACAAAAACATTAATCCAGAATGGATTGGAAAGAGGCAGGGGAAAGTAGCCCTTTATATGGATGACTTTAAAATCACTGGTTTATCCCTTATACTGATATCTTTAGAATGATTACAGATTTTTCTTCTTTGCACAGTCATGCCTATGAAGCAGGAGCTCATTCTTTTGGATGCCACAATTTTTCCTTTCCATTGATCCAATAACATTGGGCCAAAAAGCAGTGAGGTTATATGTCATACTGAAGTCATACAGCTGACAGTGAGATTTTTATATGTATTAGCCTATGTCATTTTCATTTCCTGGTTACTGAAAATCAAGCTTCCTTAATGTTAAGAATGGCCTGAAGTCACATTGAATTATAGTGTATTATACCTGAGATGTAACCTTCTAGAAACATTTAGTAAGCCTCTACTCGATATTACACAATGTCTCAGTCTTCAAAATAAGTTCAAAACCCTGTTTGGAACAAAGATAAATCCACTGGAAGCAATTATTATTATTATTATTATTTGAGACAGGGTCTCGCTGTGTCACCAAGGCTGGAGTGTAGTGGCACCATCTCTACTCACTGCAACCTCCACTTCCTGGGCTCAAGAGATCCTCCTACCTCAGCCTCCTGAATAGCTGGGACTAGAGGCGTGTGCCACCACACCTGGCTAATTTTTGAATTTATTTGTAAAGATGAGGTCTTACTAGGTTGCCTAGGCTGGTCTGGAACTCCTGAGCTCAAACCATCTGCCCACCTCACCTCCCAAAGTGCAGGAATTGCAGGTGTGAGCCACCACACTCAGCCTAGAAAAAATTAAACAATAGAGATGCCACAGTTAAGTGCTAAAGTTTGTGCTGCACACTCTAAGTAGGAAGGGAATAGAGGGAAAAGGAAACCAAGTAATAACCACTAATTTACATGAATGTAAGTTAATGGATATGATGTCCAGCCTGATGGTTAGCACATGGCAGATACTCAACACTATTTCTATTTTGTTTGTTTTTAAAAAGGGCTTGATCAGGGCTCTCTTTGAAAGGATGAGAATACTTCATAAAGAAAAAAATGAAAATTCCATACAAAAGATTGTGCATTTGTAATGATGATCCTTATGATACTCTGAGCATTCATTCAGGGGAACAGAGAGGAACAAAGGTGGGAATGAAGAGAGAGTTCCGTAGATGATATTTTGTTTACTGTGATCTATAACCTCTGGTCTCCAAAAAAAAATTCACAACCACTTCTATGATTAAACTATTATGCTTATTTCAATATTCCCCTGTCTTTGCAACAAAACTATTCAGCTTGTGACATGGAATAAGATACAGCAATGATTCCCATTCTCCTTGAATGGGAAACGGTAATGATGTGTTGGGTTTTTATTGTTTTTTTTTTTTTTTTTCAAAAATACAACGACTGATGTAAGTGATGACACAAGTAACCTAATCATTTGTTTCCTTCCAGTTAGTTTAACCAAAGTGGAAACTATGAAAGAGAACACAAATAGTAATCATTATTTCCTGTATTTCAGCCTTCCTCAGCTTCTGTCTGTACATTAGCAAAGTTCTAAGGGTTTCTAAACTTTCATCTTTTTCCTCGCTTTGTAATTTGAGCTTGATTGCTCCCTCTCTGCTACGGAAGAAAACATATTCTATAATCTTTTTAAAAACATGGTAAACGTATCATTCTATATAAAAACAATCTGAATAATAAAAATAGAGGTCTATTTTATTTCCATTTCTCCTTCCTTTTCGTTTCTGCGGTACAGATCATGCCTTTGTATCTGACTTATTTTCCGCAGGTAAACCTGGCCAGGCCTTGGCACCATAGAATAGAGTTTCCTTTAAAAGCTGTCAGGCGTTTCCCTGACAAATATATACTTGTAATTGGATCTCTCTGCTTTAGTAATAGTGATTCCAGATGGCTGCTTCTAGAGGAAGCAAGAATTTCCGGCTCCACAATGGTGTGGTTAACAGAGCTCTTCCCCTAGCCGCTCTTAAGTCGAAGAACTGTGTGTTTCGAACTTCCTGATTGATCAAGTATTATAAGAAGAGTTCAGGTTTTAGACAGGTTCCTTTGGGGGAGAACTGTAGTTGAAGCTCTTACTGCTGCAAAGATGCCCATGAGGAAAACACAAAGTGAACTTTTCTCTCAGCACCAGTTAACAACCAGTGATTGTTAACTGTTTGGTCTCTTGTGCATCTATAGCAGAATATAAATAACGTTCATAGAGTTCAAGTCCTGAAGTTCAACACATGGTACTCTAAAGGATGTTAGGTAAAGTTACCAAATGCATAAACACATTAACAGCAAAGGACATGTGAGTTGGAGATTAAAGCTCAAGCATAAACTTGATATCAGTTCTTGTCAGCTCCTAAACTATTGCATAGAAAACACTCTTTCTAATCCAATTTAAGTCTTGCAGAAAGCTTAGAAGGCTAGAAAAGCAAGTATTTTACATCTATTTTATAGATGATGAAACTGAGGCTGAAAATTTAGGCGATAGAGACAGGGTAAATGTGCATCTGTATATTCCTATTTCAGGTCTCCTTCGTAAGCACTAGGCTGCCTCATTACATCAGCATCAGGGGAGGGATGAGCAGTGAAAAAAAAAGTCCTGATAAAAATAATGATGAAAAAAATAACAATAATAAAGCCACAGGTAGGTAGTTCTTTGTGCATTAAATTTGACGGTCTAAAACTTCCAGTTCTCTCCAAAGACCTATTCTTTTTTTTTTTTTTTTTTTTTTTTTTTTTTTTTTTGAGACAGAGTCTCACTCTGTAGGTCGTGCTGGAGTGCAGTGGCGCTATCTCGGCTGACTGCAAGCTCCGCCTTCCGGGTTCACGCCATTCTCCTGCCTCAGCCTCTGAGTAGCTGGGAATACAGCCACCCGCCACCACTCCTGGTTAATTTTTTGTATTTTTAGTAGAGACGGGGTTTCACTGTGTTAGCCAGATGGTCTTGATCTCCTGACCTCCCAAAGTGCTGGGATTACAGGCGTGAGCCACTGCTTCCGGCCCGAAAAACCCACCATCTTGGCCGGGCACGGTCCCTCAGGCCTGTAATCCCAGCACTTTGGGAGGCTGTCGCAGGTGGATCACCCGAGGTCAGGCGTTCGAGACCAGCCTGACCAACATGGTGAAACCCCGTCTCTACTAAAAATACAAAAATTAGCTGGGCATGATGGCACGTCCCTGTAATCCCAGCTACTTGCGAGGCTGAGGCAGGAGAAAAACTTGAACCAGGGAGGTGGAGGTTGCAGTGAGCCAAGATCCCACCATTGCACTCCAGCCTGGGTGTCACAGCTAGACTCTGTCTCAAAAAAAAAAGAAAGAAAGAAAGAAAGAAAAACCCCACCATCTTTTATTATTTACGACTATCTTAATTTGGTTCTTGCAAAAGGAGACCCTTAGACAAGATTTTGGGTGTAAGTAGTTTATTTGAGGAAAATACAATGAGAGGGTACAGAAGTAAAGCACAGAAGAGAAGAGGACCAATAAAAAGTGCATCAATAAATGGAGTTACCCATTGTCTGTGAGAAGTTCTGCATGAAGGGACCCTGTGAAACAGTGCATAAAACAAAACATAATTTTCTCACTAAGGAGAGAGGAAGCTGGAATGTTATACATGAGCTCTTGTTTCTCATTGCCTGAAGGTTACTCATGGAGCATTAACTCCCTGGCATTTCTGGTTTGACTCCTCTGTACGGACAAAGAAGGCTCAAAGGATATACAAAACTTTTATGCAGAGAGAGAAATAGAAAGCCATAGTGGATGGGGGAAGCTTCAAAGAAATAAGGGAATATGAACAGGGTACCACCAGCATTTGCTAAAATTACCTGGAAGGAAGTTGACACGAAAGGGTGCTTTGATGAATGTGAAATATATTACAACAGTGAGTCAGAGAAGTTGACTTTTCTGTTTCCTTAAATATTCGATATGAGTGTGTGTGTGTGTGTGTGTGTGTGTGTGTGTGTGAAAGAGAGATGGTTAATTTCATGTGTCAACTTGACTGGGCTAAAGGTTGCCCAGATAGCTAGTAAAACGTTATTTCTTGATGTGTCTGTGAGAGTGTTTCTAGAATAGATTAACGTTTGAATCAGTAGACTAAGTAAAGAAGATTGCTCTCACCCATGAAGATGGGCATCACTTAATTTATTGAGGGCCGCAGTAGAACAAAAAATGGAGCAAGGGATAATTTGCTGTCTCTGATTGATCTAGGACATCTATCTTCTCCTGCCCTAGGACTTCCTGCTCCTTGTTCTTGGGCCTTCAGGTTTGAACTGGACTTATACCACTGACTCCCTGCTTAGACTAGAACTATATCACCATCTTTCCTGAGCCCCCAGCTTTCAGACAGCAGATCATTGGCCTTCCTAGCTTCCACGATCAAGTGAGCTAATCTTTCATAATAAATCTCTTTCTGTATGTGTTCATATATTCTATTGGTTTTGTTTGGTCTCTAGAGAACCCTAATACAGCATGTATGTGTGTGTGTGTGTGTGTGTGTGTGTGTGTGTGTGTGTATGTATTAACTTCCCTCAGTCAGATTTTATCCTACCACATCTTTTCAGTGCAGAGTTGTTTCAGTGGTCCAAAATTTTATGAGATGTCGAATTTTTTTCTATGATCTGAAACTATAATATTCTAAAAAATTATTGATGATGACCAGTGGAAAACAAGAATAATTTTATGAATAAACAATTCTCACAAAATGAATATAAATCAATGACAAACATAAAAAGATTAGTTTCATAATCAAAAACTATGAAATTTATCAAAAAGTTACACTCTATTGAAATATGGTGAGATTAAAAATATATTTATAAGGAGTATTTTTCGATAACAGAAAAATTATGGTGTCATGTTGAATTTTTAAAAGATTCAAAATTATATATTTAATTTCATATATATATTATGTGTGAATCTGTGTGTGTGTGTGTGTGTGTGTGTGTGTGTATGCCTGGAAGTAATTACACTTGAGAGTAGGTTATTTTAATTTTACTTCTGTGTTTATTTTCTACAATTCTATTTCTTACAATGACAATGTGTTATTTTTATACTCAGAACAGTTTTTAAAATCAAAATCAGAAATTTACTATATATGTATAATTTCAAACATCCTTGCATCATCTTCAATTATTTTACCTTCCAGAAAATTACCAAAACCTTTTTCAACTTACACATGTTTCTAATCTGTATCCACTGTTTGGATAACATCATTTGAACAAGTTGTACTTGTGGGATTTGGCAAATAATCTATATTCATTATGTTTGCCCTGCTCCATTTTTATGAAGTTGACTTTTACCTTTTCAGGCAACAAATTGTAATTGTTCAGCATTTCTCCTACAGAAGATTGTTTTATTTGTTATTGGACTTCTCCATAACTTTTAATTCATTTTTACAGATTTGTAATCACAAATTAATATAGAATTACAGGCTTAGGCTCTCTAAAGCTTTATAAAATAATTGTTTCATTTATATATTCATTTGTTTACTTTTTCTCTCCAAGGTAGAATGAACTACTACCAATGTAATGTATTATTATCATTTCCATAAACATAAACTATCTTAATTTATTAAAACTGTACTTAATAAAATTAGAGAGGGTGGTATATATACTAGTATGTCAAATGCAATGGACTTGACAGTCAGGAATTCAGTTTCTAGCAAGAGCTGCATTAACTCAAATGAACAGGATCAGTAGATATCTAATTACTTACCTGTTAATGTGGTCCTATACAATGCACTCAAAGCAAAAGTTTTCCTAAGTGCTTCTAACTTCAAGGACATCTAGGAGACAAAGTAGAATTTTCCATAAATTATGTAGGTTACATAGCATGGCCCTATCAACTTGTAAAATGTTTAGAATTCATGAAATATATAAATGCTACTATATTAGACAGGTCATGGCCATGAGTGCTCACCACAGCCTCAGATTTATTCTGGTAAAAGCAATAGCAGATCATTCTTTACATACAGATACTATCATTATGATATCCACTGAATGGCGTTGAGGCGAGGGCCTAAGTTATAAATAGCTATTTGTATGTGCTGGCATAATTACTACCAAAATGATGATTAACAGATTAAAACATTTCTACTCTCATATCCTTAGAATTAGATACACACATGTACATGTACATGCACAAGTACAGGCATATGAATATCATAAAACTGAAAAATACCCAGGAAGAGGGTAGGTAGATGCTACGAGGCAGTAAAGCCACGATTAAGCAGAAGTAGCAAGATGGAAGGATAGTAGATCCAAACACAGAGTGAAGCAGAGGCAGAAAAAAAGCTAAGTGTCAAGAATGGTCCCATTATGTAGTGACTGCTGGGCTACTATAAATGTGTAAGAAGTACAGGTGTATGAGAAGTATCCCTGAGTAATCAATAAGCCAAATCTAATGACCAGAGACAACCTGATATAACAGCTGTTGCCTGCAATCAGGGCCCTACACTAATTTAATCCTTGAGTTATACTATTATTATGGATAATAAATGGTTAGAAAAAAAGCCACAAAATTTTCAATATATGGGTAAAGAAACATAAGAATATATGTGATTTCATTTTATTTGAAATAAACGTATTTACACTAAAATTCAACAAAAGTCTATTTTAATACTGATGTTTAGATATAAGATTATACTTATTTATAGAATTGGAGTTAAAAATTTGTGGCCCTGTGTGTTAGTCCATTCTAGCATTGCTGTAAAGAAATACCTGAGATAGGGTAATTTATAAAGAAAAGAGGTTTAATTGGCTTATAGTTCTGCAAGCCGTACAGGAAGCGTAGCAGCTTCTGCTTCTGGGGAAGCCTCGAGAAAGTTAAAATCATGGTGGAAGGTGAAGGGGAAGCAGGCACATGTAACATGGCTGGAACAGGAGGAAGACAGTGGGGAGATACTACACACTTTTAAACAACCAGATCTCACGATAACTCACTCACTCATAATCGTGAGAACAGCACTGAGGGGATGATAAGCTATTCATGAGAAACTGCTTCCAAGATCCAATCATGAATTCCACCAGGCCCCACCTCCAACACGAGATTACAATTGATCATGAGATTTGGGTGGGGCATAGATCCAAACAATATCACCCTACAAGGTGGATTTGGCACTTGATTAAATTCTTGAGTTTTTGTTTATTTCTATGATTTTCTTATTCTCCTTATAGCTGAATCAGATTCTAACTACACACACACACACACACACACACACACACACATAGCTTAACACTTTTTCTTTTATTTCTCTGCTTCCTTTTTCTTTACTTTTATGTCTTTGGTAGCTTTTTTTTTTTTACAAGTGAAACACTGAACATCAGAGAGGCACTAAGCAGAATGTAATGTTTCAGTATTAATTTTGAGGTGCATGAAGCAAGAAAATAATAGTATTGATATTGACTTATATTGAAAAGTTTAGAGTGCATTTTCACGGTACAAATGCACATATATGAAGTGAATTTAAGGTCTTAAAGCAGGGGATAACAGAAGATTCGACATAATAATGATCACTTTGCTTTTGAAATATGATACACACCAAAAAGGATGTAATGATGGCCTTTTTTAGTATCAGGACACTATTGATACTGTAGAAATAATTTTATTTTTCCTTTCTCTCTTCACAAATGTGAAAAACAGAATATCTCTGGCGTCAAATTAAGAAGTAAGATCTGGGAGAAAAAAAAAACAATGAACGTACTAGGAATAAAATTACCTAACACCTCATACTTTTTATTTCTTCCTTCCTTTATGCCTACTTATATAATTTTTTCCTGTTCTTCAGGAGAATCAGTGTTTTTTCTGCAAGAAAAATGAATGCAGACTGAGGATGACTGCTCTAACTGCAGCACTTTATTATGTTTTAATGAATAATAGCTTTTTTCTTCATGTAACAGAAATGAATTGATTACAGTGATAAAAATGCTTTGTAGGTGTTAATTTGTAAAATATTTTTGGTTGATCCCTGTGAAGTGTTGCTTTTAATGTTGACTCATAATCATATATAAAAGAAGTTAGTATTTATTCTTTTTTTTTTTTTGAGATGGAGTCTCACTCTGTCACCAAGGCTGGAGTTCAGTGGCACAATCTCAGCTGACTGCAACCTCTGCCTCCTGGGTTCAAACGATTCTCCTGCCTCAGTCTCCCGAGTAGCTGGGATTACAGGTGCCCACTACCACACCTGGCTAATTTTTTTTTTTAGTAGAAATGGGGTTTCACCATGTTGGCCAGGCTAGTCTCAAGCTTCTGACCTCAAGTGATCAGTCCACCTTGGCCTCCCAAAGTGCTGAGATTACAGGTGTGAGCCACCTTTCCTGGGTCTCTACATTTTAATACAATCATCTGTCAAGACTAATATTTAAAAGAAAGGAAAGAAGCTAATATTTATTGAATCCTTAATACATGCCAGATTTTTTTTCAACTGCTATCTCATTTAATTTGCTCTCTTGATGTGACAAATGTCCTCTTTTCCTCATTCTCCAAGTTCGCAAGCCAGAGGTTTAGTGGGTCCCACTTGTCTAGCTTGTGTCCACAGGAATATCCACAACCATACAATATCTTCCTATAAACAGAGAAAATAGAATGTATGGATAACTTTAAAAGAGGAGTTTTTCAGGTCTACTCTGTAAACTTACAATCACATAAAGAAAATTTAGAACTGAGGCTTCAATAATTGCATTGTTTGGAACACAGAAGAAACAGAAATTGGAATGTTTTTCATGTTTGCATAAGCCATTGGAGAACATTTAAAAGTTACCTAATTAGTAGATTGGAGTAATTAATCAGACCGCTAGACTTTTTTTTACCACTTTGATTACAATTTGTAAATTTTCTTAAATAATTGACTCAATATTCTAAACCGATATAATCATCTTTGCATTAAATTATTAAATTTATGCCAATCCACTTGGCATGTTCTCCATTGCCATCCACTCAAGTCACAGCTCATAAATTGATAGCATTTGTAAATATAAGAGAAACACGCTTGTCATAGACTTTATTCTGAATTAAAGTAAGTACTTATGTTTATGTCCTCAGACAAAAACAAGTTTCACATTTTGACATGAATATCAGAGAGTTGAGTCAATTTTTAATTTTTTTTCATTTAACCAATTTTGTTTGGACAAACTCTTGTGCCTTTAAAGAGTTAGTTTTCAGTTTTATTTATTTTTCATGTGCTTGCTTGTTATGCTTTTAAATAACTATTTATAGAACAACGAGGAATAATCTAATCAAAGCCAGAAGTTGAGCATTTGGATGCCTTTAATTCCCCTCTGTTTCCCAATTGAAACATGATGTTTTGAGACAGCAGCCAAAAAAAGGCACATGTTCTCTTAAGTAGCTGATTTGGAAACTGAGCTTACGAATTGACTGGGAATTAAAGAAAGGAAGACATATATACAGTTGATCCTTGAACAACATAGCGTTTGAATTGCAACAGTCCGCTTACACACAGATTTCTTTTCTTTTTTTTTTTTTTTTTTTTGAGACAGAGTCTCACTCTGTTGCCCAGGCTGGAGTGCAGTGGCGCAATCTCAGCTCACTGCAACCGCCGCCTCCCAGGCTCAAGCAGTTCACCTGCCTCAGCCTCCCAATTAGCTGGGACTACAGGTGCCCGCCGCCAAGCCCGGATAATTTTTTTGTATTTTAGTAGAGACGGGGTTTCACCTTGTTGCCCAGGCTGGTCGCGAACTCCTGAGCTCAAGCAATCGGCCCGCCTCAGCCTCCCAAAATGCTGGGATTACAGGCGTGAGCCACCGTGCCCGGCCAGATTTCTTAAAATAAATATAGTTGACTCTCCAAATTGATGAGTCCTGCGTTGGCAACAAAATGCAGATTGAAAATACAGTATTCTGGGAATGTGAAGCCTGTGGATAGAGAGGGCTGACTTTTCCTGTTCACAAGTTCCACAAGGACAAGTGCAGAACATCAACATGAGCAGATTTTAGTATCCTCGGACAGTCCTGGAACCAATCCCCCATGGACACCGACGTGTGGCTATGATCCTAGCAGATGAGTTTCTCATTTTCTTGCCTTCTCTATAGCTTTTTTTCCTAGTATCTGATTGAGATGAACAATCCTCTTAACAATTCATCAATATTGCCTGCTCTATAGTCAGGTGTGCACACTCATTGAATCTGCCACTTTGGAGTGCTCAGAGAACAAAGTTTTTAAAATAAGTAGTGTAGCATTCTTAGAGTTTGGTTCTTTCAACAACATTCAGTATTGGGCACTTTCCATGATGAGTTAGGTAGTATCAGAGACACAGGTTGCAATGGTGAGTAACAACAGAATGTCCCTCTTTCATAAATTTTACAACCTAACAGGAGTGACATACATAAAATAATCATACAAATAAATGTAAAATTTCAAATGCGGCAAGTGAAACAAAAAAGAAGTATGTGTGCTATGAAAGTCTGTACAGGGAATTTGACCTAGTCAGGAAGATCAAGGAAGGCTCCCATGAGAAAAAGAGCACTGTGTTGAAATTAAAGAAAGACAAATGTTAACCAGATAAAGAAAGAAGATAGATGCTGGCCACACTAAAGGAAAACATATCCTGTGGTGAGAGAGAGCAAGATAAAGAAAAGGGACTGAAAGGAAGAGCCAGGCAGCTTGAGAACAAAGATAGAGAAAGTGTGGTGAGAAATAAGACTAGAGGAGTCGGCAGAGCCAACATCATTTGGGCCTTGTAGGCTGTGAGTACACGTTTTGCCTTTATCCTAAGAGCAGTGGGAAGGTTTGTTTAATCAGACATACGCCATGATTAAATATGCTTTAAGATGTGACATGATTAAAAACGTTTTAAGAAAAGATCACTCTAGTAAAATCTTAAGCCTCAAGGAGACTAGAATAGGAAAAGGTATACCCGTGAATAGGCAATTATAGTTGAGCAAGGAATTGATTATGGCAGCTTAGACTGTGGGAGGTGGTGGTGGTGAAGACGAAGAAGATATGTTAAGAAGGTACTATTTGATGTAACTTGGTGGTGGGTTGGATAAGAAATCTGAGGAATGGGGGATTGTCAGGACTGTCCAGACTGACTCCTGATCTCCTGCTTTGTGTAACAGGATGGATGGTGATGCTAGTCACTGAGATAAGTGACACTGGGAGCGAACCAGGCGTTAACGGAGTTCACTTTGGGATACACTGAGTTTGAGGTGCCATAAAGAGACATTCAGGAGATTTCAATAGGCATCAGACATATGAATCTAGAGTTTAGAGGAGCAGTCTTTAATAGAAATATAAATGTGTATGTTCTCTGAATAAATATGTTCATTGAATCCATAGATATGAAGGAAACTAAAGAGTGAACAGAGGAGCAAGCATAGGCTCAGAAAGTAAACATACATTCAAATTAACTGCAGGATAAAGGAAATGTGGTGCTTACACACAATGGAGTACTATTCAGCCATAAACAAGAATGAGATCCATGTATTTGCAACAACACAGATGAAACTGGAGTTTATTATGTTAAGTGAAATAATCCAGGCACAAAGACAAACATCACATGGTTTCATTTATTTGTGGGATCTAAAAATCAAAACAATTGAACCTATGGAGATAGGGAGTAGAAAGATGGTTACCAATGACTGGGAAAGGTAGTGAAGGGGAGTTGGGGAGGGATAATGGGTACAAAAAATAGTTAGAATGAATGAATAAGGCCTAGTGTCTGATAGCACAACAAGGTGACTATAATCAATAAAACGTAATTGTACATTTTAAAATAACAGAGTATAATTGGATTGTTTGTTACACAAAGGATATGTGCTTGAGGGGATGGTTACTCCATTTTCCATAAGTTTATTATTTTACATTGCATGCCTGTATCAAAACATCTCATACACCCCATAAATATGTACACCTACTATGTACCCACAAAAATTAGAAATTAAAAAATAAAAAAAAAATTTACTGCAGAAGCCTAGAACTTAGGCAAGTCACCTCTTTTCTTTCTTTTCTTTCTTTCTTTCTTTCTTTCTTTCTTTCTCTTTCTTTCTTTCCTTCTTTCTTTCTTGCCTATTGAAATCTCCTGAATGTCTCTTTATGGCACCTCAAACTCAGTGTATCCCAAAGTGAACTCCATCATTTCTTATCATTTTTTTAACCTGTTTTTTATCTGAACATAAGCATAACAATATCTTTCTAAGGTTGTTGTTGGATTAATTCAGCTAAAATGTTAAGTAGCTTCCAGCATACCTTGCAAATAGATGCTTTAAAAGGGTCATAAAAATTATGATGCTGCTGTGGCTGCTGCTTTTACTGGTGATGGTGATGACAAGATAGTTATAAATTAAAGCAACAAGAACTTTGGTTAAATGCCAGTCCTTTGAATTCAAATTTTTCTGAAATCATTTTAAACTTTTCATTGATTTTCTTTTTAAGCAAAAGAAGCTGAAGATAATGTAACCTTTCCTTGATGACATGGGATCATCATTTGAACATCAGTTCTTTTTAATGGGCTCTCAGATTTTCAAAGATCATTCAGGAGTATAAGCCCTAACATTAATTAGAGTCAAATTCCTATGCTAATTGATAGGTTGTATATGGTGGGTATAGTATTCTATTATAACCATCTTCAAGATTTTGCTTTTAATATGCTTGAAATCATATAACCAAGTTTATTAGAATTGTGCCTAAAATAAATGTAGATAAAATGAAACTTAATGGGATCTAAATAAAGTATACAAATTTTATGATATTTATTGGAATAGATGATAATCGTAATGGCCTCCCTCCTGATTGATTGCAATCTTTCAGATGGTTGAGACTGCTGTCTTTCAGGTCAAGGAGATGGTGTGTATGTGAGTGTACCTGTGTATTAATTTACATATATGCATAGAATAATTTCTTCTTAGCCACAAATTGTCTTTACATGGAATTATATGTAGATATATATTAATATAGTATTTAATTTGCTTCACTAATAAATTTTTATATTCAGTAATAGAAATTTAGATCGACTATCTGCATGCATTACCTCAATTATACAATCATGAAACAATAGAGAAATCAACACACAACTGTCTATTAATATGCATAATTTCTTAGAAATGCAAAATAAATATACAAGCAGAGATGGAAAATATGAAGTGAGGAAGAGTATTCTATCCAATATTAAAAGTGATATTATGATATAATCCCATTAATGAAAATGAGATTAAAAATAAGGCTGGTAGATGTCAAAACCAGGAGTTCGAGACTAGACTTAGCAGTATGTTTTAAGGGTGCAGAAATAGAAGCAAGAAAAAATATTCACCAAAATGTCAATGGTAATTATTCCACAATGGTAGAATGTCAGATATTATATATTAGTTACAATGTCTTTACACTTTTTAAAATTATTTAAGGTGAACATGTATTATTTGTATCATCAGCAAAATTGAAAAATAAGGCAAAAAAATATTTAGAAAGCAGGGGAGAATCCTGAAAATGTCAGTGAGCCAGAAAGCCAGAATTGATATTTTGGAATAAATAACAAATACTCTTTGTTTCTAATTTATGATTTAAATAATATAATTCACATTTTGTGTATTTATTTTCATTATAATTTTTAAAGTAAAATATATATAAGGTTTCAAATGACCTAGTTTATAGGGAAAATGAAAATTAACACCCTATTGCTTCATTCTCTTATGACAAGAGGCAACTACTTTCAACTCTAGTCGTTGTTTCTACTGCTAGTTACTTCCAGCTATCTCACTAACAGGTTTCTACCATATTGCTTTATCATGTAGCATTCTATTAACTTCCTTCCCTGAGAAATGCTACTTTGGTTCACTCAAAGTATCCCATCTTCTTTATTCATAATATTTTTACTTCACCCACTTTTTTCCTTTTGTAAATTTACATAATAGATCTACGCCTTTATTCCTTGTTACATAAAGCTGACTCCTCACATTATAAAATGAACCTATAAGCACTATTACCTACCATTTCTTCTCTACTTCCCACATCCACTCCACACCCCAATTTCTTACTTTCACGACGCTGAGTTTGAAAAGACTTAAAATACTGTTGCATTTTCATATCCATTCTTCTTTGTATTCTGTCTGTAGACTGATTCTCAAAGACATAAATTAATGAAAAGTATCGAAATTATTGTAGCAGCATGTTAGTTATCTACTGCTCATAACAAATTACCGCAAACTTGGTGGCTTAAAATACCATACATTGTTAGCTCACAGTTTCTGTGAGTCAGGAGTCTGGGCACAGAGTAGCTGAATCCTCTGCTTCAGAGTCTCTCATCTGGCTGCAATCAAGACTTAGGTATGAGATGTATTCTTCTGTCAAGGCTCAGCTCAGGAAGAATCTGCTTTCAAGCTCATATGGTTGTTTGGTTGTTGGCAGAATTTGGTTCTTTGCAGGTTGTAGGACTGAGGGTCTCAGTTTCTTCCTAGGTATTGTCCAAAGCCTGCCTTAGGTTTGTCACCTCTCCAGAGAGCAGTTTGCATCACAGCAGCTTACTTCATCAAAGCCAGGATGGGATAGAGTCAGCTGACAAGACAGACATTACAATCTTATGTGATATAACCATGGAAATAGCATCCTGTTACTTTTGCCATTTTTTATTGGTTAGAAGCAAATCACAGTTCTTGCCTCAAGGGAAGGAGATGACACAAAACCATGAGTACTAGGAGACAAGAATAATTGTGAGCCATCTTGCTGTCTTTCCACCACCATCTATAGAATTATTTTGCTTTGCAATACCTACTAATATATTTTGATTATGCCTCTTTTCCTTTATAATCTTCCCCAAAGTTTCTAATTCTTTGCTTTTATTTTTTGCACTATCTTTATCATACATTCAATTTCTTTCCACCCCAAAAATTTTATATTTAATCAGATATTGCTCTGAGTTTTGTTTTCTGGAAATTTTCTTTTGTGGACTTCTTCCTCCCCCTCTTATTTGGACTAGTTGATCTGTAGGTTTGCTACACCATACTGGAGTGGTAGTCAATATTTTACAATGTTAGCATCATCTTTAATTTTGCTACAGCACCTTGTCAGTGAAATCACTTTTAGTCGTTAAGTTTTTCTTGGATGGCTACCATATGTCAGGCACTATCCTAGGCTCTGGGTACCCAATAGTAGAAAAAGAGCCAGTATAGGAAAAGAAAATATCCCTGTACTTGCGGAGTTTATATTCTAATGGAGGGAAACAGACATTATACAAAGTAAATGAGAAGACTATATACTTTACCCAATGTTCATAGAAATTCAGAAGAAAAATGAAGTAGAAGAAGGAAGGAAAGAGAGTGACTTCCTGGGCACAGGCTAGTGTTAGAAAGGTGGGGAGCTAAATTTTAAACAGGGTGGTCAGGGAAGAGCTTCCTGAAAAAAGAATATTTGAGCAAAGACATGAAGGAAGTGAGGGGGAGAGCCGTGTGTCTCTGGGAAAGAGCTCTCGAAGCAAAGTGAACCACAGTCCAGAGTTTCCTTACTCTGAGGAAACAGTGCTCTGTACCATGTCACACTGCCATCCCAGTCAGAACTGATTAGATCAGGAATTATTGCCAGAACCAAAGCGTCCAATGAGTTTTCTTGGCAGGGAAACTCTATAGAATAGAGATGTCCTATTGTGAGATGAGACCGGCCCACCCTGATCTGATTGATGTTCTCCAGTGGAGTCCCGTCATAGCACAAAGATAATTGAAGAGAGCCGGATACCTGCGAGGGACTCAGCAGAGGCCATGCCCCAACAGCAGTAATGATAAAGCAGAAGCCAAACAGTAGAAAGACACAAAGTTAAAGATAAACAGAAGAGAAGCAGAGGCATCAGAGACCTGAAACCAGAAAATGCTGAACTCCCAAGTTGCTGATGGCAGACAGGCTAGGGAAGAATGAACAGTTTCCTTATCTCCCCAACTTCTAATGGATCTATGTTTCCTCAGTTCTTGGTGGGTTTTGCCATAAAATCATGTTTCCTGTTATAAATGAGGAATGAGTGTCTATGCCTTATAAACAAAAAAAAAAAAAAAAAAATAGCAACAAAGCAACTATTTCTGCTTTTCTTAATTAGCTTGATGTCTTTACTTCTTTATTACTTTGTCTTTATTTCAACCTATAAAAACATAAAACAAAAGATAGTTTCGGAGTATTTACAGTTTCAGAAGCTTCTAACATCAACCTAAAACCTCCTAGTTGCTTTTTCCGTATTGAGAATATCTACAAATTTCGGTTTTGTTGTTGTTGTTACTCACCCCCACCAACACTGCCAAGGGATTTCTGGGGTACCTATATCAAAGGGAAATTTTAGTATCTTTCAGACTGATTTCTTAGGTCCTTGTCTACTTCTGTGCCTGTCCTTGTAATTGAGATTGTAGATGTAGGGGCTCTGTTTCCACTACACTATTAGCAAATGTATTTCCCACCCTCTTTTACATAATTACTGCCTTGAATCCATTAGAGCAACTGCAGGAGGTAATTTTGCACCCTTACCTTGGGCTGTTGTCACCATCCCCTCTCTCTCTTTCTTCACTAAAACCTCAAGGGGTTTTGATTGTAAATTTTGTATTCTATGAGACTAATATATTTATAATATCTTGCAATATAAGTTAGACTGGTGAGTGCATGACTGTTGCACTTTAAATAGCCCATCACTTAAAGACAGAAACAATTACCAATAGCAGGCTCTGAAGAGATGCTTTACATTCGTATATTTAAATGGCTCCCTGTTCCAGTGGAATAAATAAAATAAGGCATTATTTCTTTTCCTGTCTTGTTTTTCTACTAAATGTCTACCTTTCATGTTACAATAGTTGGGGAATATGTGCTTCTAAGAAAATGTGCTTAAGAGTGATAATTCAGGGAAAGCCTGCACATTAGTCATCGAAGTAGATTTTTAGTAATTCCCATTTTCCCCATGAAAATAACTGAGTAAAATTATGATAACAGAATGTAATGCATACCACAATTATTTTGCTAAGCTCAGCCTCTGAAGTGCAAAAAAGTGTTGTGACATGCTTGAAATCAGTGCTTAAGCAATTCTATATTTATTTTAGCATTTGATTTTTAAGTTTTGCTGCTACTACCTTAGTCTAAATAGCATAACATGGAAAAGCAAGTGCATTGAATTTTTGGAAAAGATAAAATGACTTCTCAATTTATGAACCCAACATCTGGAATTCTCCAGAGCACTTCCTCAAATCAATATTTTTCCATTTGTTGAATTTCAATTGTTTTAGATAATGTCTTTGACATCATATCAACTCATTAGGAGAGTATTATTGTTTCACAAGAGAGTAATTCTGTCAAAAGCAAAGCTAAGATCACAAGGGATCCAAACTCTATTTTCATGTAAATATATTTAATAAGGAGAAGAGGCAGAGGAAAAAGAGAATGGGAGATAAGTCAGTCTAAATGGAAGATGAGTGCTTCAGATTATTAGAGAGATTAACATATAATATATAAAGGTATCTGGGCTAGTTGTATCAATTGATTAGATCCTATATCAAGCATTGATGATTTGATATTTGCATGGGTCACTAAGTTTTGCACAATGGGGAGAAAAGTTTAACAGATACTTCTCTGTGGTCAACAAACCATTCTGAATGCATGAGGTGATGGGGCAAAAAATTGTTGATGGCCCCACACTGTCAGTCAATCCTAACCACTGGACATCAACCCTAGGTGCTGGTCTCATTTACAGTGGTCAGTAGTCTTTTGTGCCTATGAAAACACATGGTTAATATCGTTGGAAAGTCCAGATTTTGCTGATTACTTCACATAGCAGGCACTTAATAACGATGTGCTGAATAAAGGAATGTCTGATTTTATGGACTCACATGAAGCAGTCATTATGCAATTGCACAGATACTTGTCATGATAGAGAATCATGAAGGACAGAAGCAAAAATCAGGGGTGGAGGTAGAAGAAGACTGAGAAAGCTTTCTACAGTTTTTCCTGATTTCCCTTTTATTTGCTCTAGCCAAGCAATCTTGGCTAAGAGGGGAAATGAGCTGAGAGCATTTTGGACAGAAGGGGAAAGTGGAACAAAAGCACAGGGTACAAAGAGCTCTAAGATGCATAGCCCTGCATCAAAAAGGAAATACACTTTTCTCTCTGTTGTACCTCTTATATTGTCTTAATGACTTCAAGTTATTTTCAAGGAACCAGGAAATGCACAGAGATCCCTCACTCCCGCCACAACCAAGCCTACACCTTCAATGCATACCTACATTGTTACGACAGAATAAACTGTCACACATTTGTTGTGTACCTACATTTGTTGGGACAGAATAAACTGTAGAGTCAATTATCTCCTGAATAGTTTGCCAACCCTTGCTAATACTACTAGACACTTAGGATGAGGATGTCCTTTTAGATTTAATAGAGCTCATAAAATAATCACTCCACGTAAGTGAATTTAAGGTTTTAAAGAGAAATATCTCAGTAATTGGGCAAAATCTTATCAGTGCCTAGAGGGAATGGAACTTTGTTTAATTGTTTTATTGAAATAAGAACAGACACCCAACAAAGAAATAGTAAGAAACGAGAAATGCTGAATTGGAAAGGAGTTTGCTTGGTAGTTAGCAATGTAAATATACCTATTTTTTAAAGTGCAGAAAATAGCTGGTTGAAAGGAGAGAATAAAATTTCATCTTTTATAATGTTGATACTTAGAATTTATATAATATCTCTGATCTTTATCACCATATCTATAATCCAAAAAATTTCTGAAGGCGTTAGGAGGTGGTCAATGTTATTTTCAATTTGCAAAGTAATTATTTAGCAATAAAGATTATGTAAGGCCAGCACCAGCTGTGAAATAAAAAAAAAATGGAAACCAGAATTGCGTATTCAAATTTACTATGGAGTTTCCTATATACCCACTCCCTTTTAAACCAGCACCCACATAAAAAATTAGAATGGTGGTCTGTTAAGAATGACCATCTGGGTGACTGTTCTCCCTTTTTCACTAAATGCTATGGTCTGAATGTCTATGCTGTCCCAAAATTTATATGTTGAAAACAAATAATCAATGTGATGGTTTTAGGAGGTGGGGCCTTTGAGAGGCCATTATATCATGAAGGCAGAACACTCAGGAATGGGGTCAGTGCCGTTATAAAAGATGCCCTGGAGAGACCTTTTGTCCCTTCTACCAGGTGAGGATATAGTGAGAGGGTATCATCTGTGAACCATAAAGAGGGCCCTCATCAGACACTGAATCTGCCTATGCCTTGATCTTAAACTTCCAAGTCTCCAGAACTGAGAGAAATACATTTCTGTGATTTATAAGTTTCCCAATTATGGTATTTTTATAGCAGCCAAATTGGACTAAGATAGCAATTCTATAATGATATTGTGTAATGGAATAATAGAGCTAGTGAGAATATATGACATTTCCTTTTAATATAAAACTTTATACATGCCACCTGAGATCACCAGTTTTCCTTTTAGGAGGAAAAAATCTGGTTGAAGCAGAGGTTCTTAGACTTGTAGCATTTCCAATGTAATAGAGTAAATGGACAAATAAATTCTTAGAATATCCTTAGGCAAATGCCTGATATAGTCCTCTATCAGGACAACTTCATTTTTAGTATTTGATTTCTGAATATATATATTTTTAAATATTATAATTTATATCACATTATATGCATTTTAAAAGATAAAAAGGCATAGTCTCATTTTCAAAATTGCCTTACAAATTTATTATATACGTGTGTGTATATATACAAATGTACATGTCATTTATTATGCACATTATCTTATTTAATTATAATAACCTAGGGAATTAAGACTTTACATCAGATTTTCTTTTCTTTTTCAGATTGGAAAAGCATTGGAAAATTTGTCCAAAGTCACTCAACAGATTCATGATGGATCCTGGATTCACAGCCAGCTTTACTTGGCAATAAAATTCAAGTCCTGTTCACATCACAACACATTTTTACCGAAAGAAAAATATGATGTGTAGATGTTTGGAGGCATCCTATCTTAATGAGGCTTTTGTTAGAAAGAGTTTTCTTAAAATTACAGGGTTGGGGAAATAAAAAATGTTTGTTGCTCAGATTAACAAAAAAATGGTATATAGAAAATAAAGCTAAGAAAGGAAAGTGCAGACAACCAAGAGACTAGAATTTTCAATAAATGGCAAAATTGTGGTGTTCTGTGGTTACCTCTTGAAGATTTGGCCTGAATCATGCAACAATTGCCCCTTACCCTCAGTCCTCAAATTACAATAGTGAAAGAGGTTTCTATAGGTATTATATTTGAATCTGCTATATTTTGTTTATTACTTGCAAGGACATATAGGAGAGCAAAAGTTTTCCCTCTAATTTCTTAGGTTTAGTAACTGGAACTTGTGAATTAAACTGGCAAAATACAGATTAACAGGAGAAGAGTCATAGACATTTTATTTTAAATTTCATATGCAATGTAGTTCCAGAGAAAAGAAGTGAAAGCCTGAAGAAGCAATTAGACTTGAGGAGTTATATCTTTAACAAAGGGTGGTGAGTGTAGAGAAGTGACTAGATTTTTTTTAAGATGGTTTTAGGCTTCCAAGGGTGATAAACCATGGGAAGGAAAATACATGAGGGAAACTAATGGTATATAGGAGTTATTTAGTAAGGTTTGTTTACACAGACTAATCTCAGTGGTAAGAACGGTTTTTCTCCTTTTTCTGGTCAGGGGAAGGAGAAGGGACACCATCACAATGGGAATTTGTGCTTTGCTGGTAGACAAATAGGAGCAGAGCAGAGAACTTCTTTCTCTCAATTGTCTTCAGCTCAGAATAATCCTTATGCCAAACAGGCATAATTTGGAATTACATATTTTCATCCTCTCCACACACAAGCTTCCGTATAAAGTTCAAAGACAGTAGTATTTTCTTATAATTCACTCTGCCCCAAATATTAACTAAGATGACATTCTTTTTCCAGCTTGATTCTGCAACATTCACTTCCAGAAACTTTATCACTCTTAATCCTGGATTGAAGGAAAATATTTGAATGTGATAAAGGATATATATTTTAAAAAGAAAGGAACTATAATAAAAGGCAAGATTCAGAAATTATGTTGTAATCTGTGACTTAGTGCAATTTAGTCCTTGAATTTCTTGTGTGCAATTTATTGAAGCTATCTTATTATATGTTAATTCTGTGTCTTCTTTGCCCTCTCTTTTTGTAAAAATTTTCTTTTTCTGAATTTTTTTCCAGAGTCAATCATTGATCTTCTTGATAACATTCATTTCCCTTGGTGAACTAACTTTGGTTCATCGCTTTATCATTCTTCTCCAGGCTGTTTTTGAAGGGTCTGTGAGCTGAGAATGGTTTTTAATAGATAAATGCTCACAATCAATTTGGGGATAAGAAATATTATTTTGAATCTCAGTTACAAAAAATGTTATCCTTCATAAAATAATTCATTTTTTTCTCAGTAATAAAAATGTATTTCAAAAATATGGTGTCCTTATTATATTTTAAATTTTGCCAATAAAAATAATAAAAATTGATTTTCTCTAATTATGTAAGTACCTAGATGATTTTTAAAATTTTGTCTCTTGACTTATACAAAGCCTAAAATATTTATAACTGCCCCTTTATAGAAAAAGTTTGCGAACCTATTTTCTAAAGGTTGGATCCACTCAACAGATATCTTTTATTTGGACTTCAAAATGTGCTTCAGAATGCACGAAAACAATAACTACAAAAACATATATTAATTTCTTTCTTTCCTGAACTCAAATAGCAACTTGCAACAGCATGCTTTCTAGAGTTGGAATATTCATGTGTTACATTGTGTGTAGGGGGTTGGAGGGTGTGTGTATGGGTCTGTGTCTGTAGAATTGGACCTCATCTCTGCTCTTCAACAAAATTTAGGTTTAGAAAAGGGAGTAATTTCATAAACTTATTTTGTTTCTCATGAATG
Organism: Homo sapiens; assembly: GCF_000001405.40. Classification (NCBI taxonomy): domain Eukaryota; kingdom Metazoa; phylum Chordata; class Mammalia; order Primates; family Hominidae; genus Homo; species Homo sapiens. Next base: position 106,186,425 of record NC_000003.12, on the reverse strand, counting down.
ATACTATTTTGAAATTAACAAAAATGATGCTCAGTGAACACCAAACCAATAAATGTTTAAATGAAATGGAGAATTTGAGTCTTAACATTAAATCTTAAGCAAAATACACATTTTAAGGATTACGAATACTTTACTTCAAAATGAAAGTTGTCATCATCAGCTCCCTATACACTCAAGAATTCTCAGTGAAGTGAACAGAATTAGAACTACAAGTGAAAAAAATTAGAACTGCAGTAAGAAGTTCCTGTTAGAGACATGACTCAATCTCTCAACTCCTATGTGGCCGTGGAAAAATTGGTTTATCTGGCTGATAAGCCAGGTACCTTTTTCTAAGTACCTTGAAGTGGCTGACCTCTAAGATTCCTTGAAGTTATGACAATCTATAACTGGTATGGTGGGCAGTCTCACCAGCAAGTGACTTTTGTGGTCCCAAATGTTATTATTTAAAGGGGTACAAGTCAGATACTCTTTCTGCAAATTATCAGCCTTACTGACTATTGACGTTTTGTTATGGGTTAAATAGGCATCATACCTAGTTTCCCCGTATTCTCAACTCTCAACAGAGATAGCTACTATTGCTATTCCTATTTCTTTTCAGACAAAGAATTCAAAAGAGATTGAAGTCATTTACCCATGGTTATAAAACCCAGAAGTGTCAAAACTGAAATTTAAACACTGTTTTATTTCAAACTTAAATTGCTGATGCCCAAGCTATATAGTTTCATGGTTTAGTGGTCCCCTCCTGAAAAATGTTTTCATTTTCTAAATTTGAAGAAATCTCCTTTGAAAGGCAAAACCCTTAAGCTTGCTTTGCCCGACACTTTATCCCCTTGACAAGAATCAGGGATGGCAGGAAGACAAAGGGAGGGTCAGAAGGAAGAAGTGGCTCTGGCAGAAGTAGATGGGAAGCCAGCAGGGATGAACTTCACCTTGATCATTATGTTGCCTAAGACAGGTCTGACTTCCAGTTATAATTAAACATGAACATCTTTACCAAGCATTCATTTACTTCATGTGTTTTAGAGAAGAACATTCCACCCTAATGCGACAGAAAGGTTAGAGTTAAACTAGAAAATGAGATTGGAAATCCCATCCAAGCATGTAGCATGCAGTAATCCCCCTATATGGAGGATAGGTTCTGAGAGCCTAAACCCATGGTTAGTACTAAACCCTACATATACTATGTGTTTTCCTACCCATATATACCTATGATAAAGTTTCTTTTATAAATTAGACACAGAGATGAATAACAATAGCTAATCATAAAATGGAACAATTAATATACTGCAGTAAGGGTGATGTGAATGTGGTTTCTCTCACTCTTTCTGAAAATATCTTTTTGTAATATACTCACCTACTTTTAAACCCGCAACTAACCATGGGTAACTGAAACTACAGAAAGAGAAACCACAGATTATAGAATACCACTGTACTCTCTCTGCCCAAGTCCTATCCTCAAAAATGTCTTGATTACTACAAAATGGCTTTTTCTTTTTTTTTTTTAACTTTTTAAGTGAAAACTGAACTATTAAGTTTATATATTTGATGATCTCCTATTTTCTAACTTCTTTCAAAATAAATCAAAGAATATATATGTGAATGTATCTATATCTTTAAATTACTTAGAAAGAAAAATTTTCCCACCACATTTATCTCAGCTAACTCATGAAACTGAACTCATTGTTTCAGTTCCCAGTGAAGTGATATTAACAAGTGTTTTTAGTTGGGGGAGTAAAGAAGGAGGTGCGTATAGATCTAGGGGAGGTGGGAGATGGGAGGGAGGCTAGACCCAGTGAGATGGATAAGATTAGCAGCCTAATGAAGCATCTTGCCATTGAAGCCCATGTACCATAAAAATGCACATACGAATTTATTTTTATAAAAATATAGCTGTCAGCTTACATATTATAATGCAGTTGGCAAAAAATAAGTTAATAAAAAAGTTCTCTTCTAAAATTTGTTAGATTGCCACAAAAAGGAAGCTTTCTACAACGTTTTTTTTTTTTCTTAGAACCCTTGGGTTAATGAAACCTAGTCTGTTACAGTTACTGTTTTTCTTCTCTCTACTCAGCATGGATTACTTGATGTCTCATCTATGGCAGAGTCTGCCAAGACAATTGAGCAAGTCTAGTGTAGAGAACTTTAATGTAGTTGGAACATATCCAGCATCAAACAAGAGTCTGTGTCAAGATCTAAGACTAGCCAGATTTTCTTTCTCAGGTGTCATTTTCTTTCTCAGGTGTCATTTCCTTCTCTCTGGAGTCATTGGGTGTCTGATTCCTTGAGTCCTCAGGCTATCAGGAACTTTCAGAAGAGATGTGTTTTCTCTGGTTAGATAACATGCCTTGGTGCTAATCCTCAAATCTCCTTGAATTCAAGTGTGTCCTGAGGCAAGAATTTTCACTGCTTGCCTGTTTCTGCATCTGAAATTTATGGGTTTTCTCATTCTGAGCCAGTTCACAAGTTGGCTGATGATTGGTGAGATCAATTATCTTTGTGAGAAAGGAGCTCTACAAATGTTAAATTGTACTAAATCATTGAGTAACGTAAAGCTGCTATGTCAAGTTACAGAAAGCAATCAAAGCTGCCTAATGCATCTGTTGCCTATTTTTAGAGCCTGAATCAACTCATGGAGCCAGTTAGGTAACTCACATAATAATAACTGAGTACTTATTATTTTTTAGTCATTATGCTAAAATGTTTCATATGAATTAATTTATCCACCTCATACCAACCTGTGAGGTAGGTAATGCTATTATCTTCCACTAGCAAATGAGGTAATTAGCCCAAGGACACCGATTGATAAATGGTGCACTAGAAATTGAAGCTGAGACTTCAGGTTCCAAAACAATTCCATTGTACTGCTTACAATGTAGTCATGCCCTTTGACCTCCAATAATAATAGAATTTCATGCCAAGACTATTTAGATGTTTAGAGCTAACTCTGAAGTAAAAATGCCTGCATGGCACTGCCAATTGCTAGGTGCCGACCCTTGGGCAAAGTGATATTAACCTCACCTGTAAAATGGGGTCAATAACCGTCCCTGCCCATAGGGTTGTTTTGAAGTAATCCATGTAGAGCATGTACACTAGTGCTCAGTACGTAGTGAGCATTCAAACATTTTAGGTACTATTAGCACTTACATAATGACACTATCATTTCTAATCACATTCAGCTGGAAGGCATGCATATGAATAAACATCAATTCACAGGTCCTGTCTGACCTATTGATTCTCACTTGCTGATATAATCAAAATAAAACAGTAATAAGGCAGTGCAGCCTCTTACACAGACAGCAGCCTGGCTTCGTTCTAAGATTTAAACATCAGTTTAAATCAGCTATTTCAATCCAAGCCATTTTGAATGAGGTAATGGTTTGTGTGCGTTTTAGGAGAAATTACAAAGTAAAGTGAAGTAATGCCTTCATTATGCATATTAAGGGTTTGGATTCTGCATGGTCAGTGGGTAGGAAGATTCTGGACTTATTTCAAACCGCCCTTGTAATTGTATCTGTCTGCCTTTTGTATAAGCAGGTAAGAACTGCTGAAACCTCTAACTAGCCAAAGAATAGACAGAAAGAAACCATGTATATTCACATTTGTTTCCAAATAGCCTATGGAAGCCACAGGGAGTTATGCAACCTTAGAGAGAGAATATTGGAATTTTTTTTGTATTGATGTATTTAATGATAACTCCCTTAAATTCAACCCCCCTAGATTAACTTTGAGTTTGAGTTCAAGCTCTGCTACTTAATTAGATTTGTGACCTTAAATATGCCTTTAAGTTTCCTTTTCCGCATTGGGAAAGTATAAATGATACTACTACCTACTCATTCGTAGTTGTAGCATTTAAGAGAATCTATGCAATTAGTATAGTGACTAACATACTATGTTATCAATAAGTTTTAGCAATTATGATGTTATGAGTATTCTTATTGTATATTCTGCTAGTAATTGAATATGACTGTAATTTAAGCTTGTCTGTCGATTCTGCATAGTATTAAAAAGCTTAGAAAAGAGCATAAACTATGTTTTATAAAAGTTAAGCAATTAAAAATGGCAAGAATATATACCTTTTACTTGCAAACTCTTATATGTCCTTAAATTCCATGTAATGAAAGCCAACTTTTTGTGTGTTTTTTAATCATACAAAATCATCAAACCATCAAGTAATATTTGTAAAGTATCTGCATAAGCATGGTATCACGCTGGGTGCTGCAATACAATAATTAATAATGATATCATGCAAAAACAGTATTTTTCAAGGTTTTAAATATGGTTGTAAACTAATTAATTTTCATTGCAAATATTTTTATAAGAATAAGAAACTCATTCTTGTAAAGCATGGTTTGAATGAACTGGATTCAGATTGCGAGGCAGAAGGGAACTCAATTCTTCTGATACTCAAACCCAAATCCTATCCAGCTTTTAGTCAGTGTGTGGGAACATCAGTAATTTATGTGCCTTCTATTTAAGTTGAGGAGCTAAGATGTTAAGTAAGAGAACTCACATGGAAGAGGCCTTAAATTCAGTTTATCTTAAAGTTTCTCATAAACGTGCTTTTCATCTATGAAGCCTATTCCTGGCATCATAGAAGATTGCAGTTGCTCTCTTTCCCTTAGCAACAATGAAGAAAATATGCTGCGGAAATGTGAAACATATAACGTACAAATATAATAGTATTAACATTCTTCCCAAGCTTGTTACTCTTTCCATTTTTCTCTTGACTTTTATTTCTTTTCTCTCTAGAAAAATACTGTTATTTTGAGAAAAGGATAGTAAGCCAATGAGCACCTGCCAGGGGCAGGAGCATAACCCTATAGGAAACCCTGAAAGACTGTCCGTAAGCATCAGGGAGATAGGGTTTGAATCCCAAACCATCTTCTATTAGGCTGGTGCAAAAGTGATTACAGTATTGCTATTACTTTCAATGGCAAAGACCGCAATTACTTTTGCACCAAGTTATAGGTTTGAAACTCTGGAAATTAGGTAGGTTCTTTGTCTTATCTCTGTCCTCTATATTTCACCTTTTATTTCTAAAATACAAATACTACAAATACTAACATCACAGGTTTAATTTTTAAGACTACTATATAGTAGAAATTAAAAACAAAATAATAACTCTTTGTCTAATTCATTTTCAAACATGCTAGCCATTTTCATTCATGAGAATAAAATGTCTGTGTAGCCCTTCTACATCCAGAAAGCTTTAGCAATACACTCAATACACATACAAAGTATGTTTGATTTGTTTTACCAATAGTTTATAGTTAGTGATAACCATCTCTGATATAAGTGATTCTCAAGCTAGACTACACATTAGAATCATCTGGGACCTTTAAAAAATACTGATTCTCAGGTTCCATCCCGAATTAATCAAACCATTATTTCTGGCAATGGGACCCTTTGCAGTCATTGGATTTTTTAATCAGTTAAATAACTCCACTGTGCAGCCAGTTTTAAGGTGCTTTCTTAGAAGGTTTATCCATCTTTCATGTTTCAACTCAATTCTATAGTCTTCCCTTATCTTCTTGACCCTATATCATATTGAGGCTGAAAGTGTTGCATTTATTTACTGCATTCTTAATGATGTATCTTGTAAATGCTGGATGTATTTGTATACATTATTAAGAACAGTAGATTTGACTACATGTGCAGATTTCAAGGAAATTCAAGCACGGTATCTGACAAGAAGTCTCTCACAGCAACACAAACTTTGTCTCCCCCACTTCTCAAACTTTCCTCCTGAACATAGAAGCCTATTTATTCTTTTTTCTCAACCTTTTTATAAAAAGTGATTTTATCTAGTTTTTCCATTTGCAACCCAAATACTCTCCATCCCTAAATTTACTTTCCTTCTGGGAAGTGAAATAATTTTAATATGTGCAGAATTGCCTAAATGCAGTTAGATACATCTGCATTAGTCTAACCAAATATGCATTAATTTTGTTTTGCACAGTGGTTTGTGATTACCTGAAATTTCCCAAAGGTGTTTTTCCAGATAAACTATTAGCTCTTATTTCTGGATCTGCCTACCATGGCTCACAGGTAGAAAACCCAGGCTATTATTGTACCCCTAGTTCACAGGCGTATCTCCAGACGCAAAGGATTACAACAAAAAATTGTGAACCTTCAGCTCAAGGGAGGCAGATGTGTACTAGAGTCAAGACTCAGAAAATAATATGAAGCTTCTTTTATTCCTTTAGGAAAAAGGATAAAAGAAAAAGGGGTAATTAAGTCTCTTTACATCCACCACACTCAGCAGCAAATGACTTCTTGTTTAATAGAGTTAACAATGAGAAAATTTATTTCCCTTTGAATAATTGCCTTTACTTAATTACAGTTAATCAAAACCTACAGGAGTAAAAATGCTAGAGAATTGTGCTGCCACTTTGTTGCTTTTCACAGAAGGTTTGTATAGAAGAAATAGATAAAGGAAACAAATATGTGGATTTTAGATAACTTCCCCTAATTAGAATAAAGACTCATCCTAATACAAGGGAAAATGCAGTTTGCTTTCCTATTAATATAACCAAGTTTCATGGCTTTGAGACCTCTGATCTGCTTGGATTACATTATAGCTGTCATCTGCAATCTGTATTTCTTAATAATAGAATTTGCTCACTTCCTTAAGTTAAATTGTTTTGGGGGAAACATTTAAGAAGCAATGCCTTCACTTGGGAAGCATAAGGTTTAAGTCACACAAACTGAAGGTAATTATTTTGCTAAGTTAATTAGGAATGTTTATGTATTTGATAAAATACAAATACAATTAGAAGACAAATAGATTACAGCATGAGGCTTAAGGACCATGGACTGATGTCAAAGTATATAGGACATCATTATTTAGATATCTGTAAGGTACCTTAATCCCAATATGTACAAAACTGGACCCAGCATCTTCCTTCACTCTCAACCCTGTTTGGTTCATTTTGAAAAAAAAAAATGAGGAACATAGAGAATAAGAAACCAGAGTCATCCTAAACAAGTCTTCTTCCCTTCCCATCTTTCCATATGTAATTCATCACCAATGTCTGTTCATAAAAAATTCAGACACATCTCTCCACTCTGTTCTCCTATCTACACCTCCATCCTCACTACCACCTGAAACAGGTTACAAGTACCCCTAGGACTGGACTGCTGTAAATGGCTCATAAGTGATCGACCCACTGTCATCCATCCTTATCCCTGCTCATGCATTTGCCCCACTACACCTAGAAAAATCTTTGCAATCTTTTCCACACAAATCTGATTGTGTTACTCCTGTCCTTTTCTGATTCCCTATCCTCCCTCAGCTTTGAAATCCTTTAATTTTCCTCCTAACATCTCACAATCTCCTCCCCGTCCCTAGTCCTGGCCTGACCTTGTTTACCATGTTTACCCATGAGCACACCCCAGCTCAGTGTGCTCCTTGGCTTCTTCCCTCAGCATCACCATCACCCAGCCAGGATATTCAGAGGACCGAACCCTCTTTCCTCCCCTTTAGTCCCAATTTACTCCTATTCATCCTACAGACTTCAGATCATTTCCCTTTCCCAATCTTCCTGCATGCATTAATTTTCCTATTATGCTACCTCAGAGTACCATATACTTTAGCACTTAAAACAATTGCAGCTTTACAATTATTGCTTATTAGTTACTGTCTCCCCCAATAAACTGCATTTGTTTGCCATTATATCTTTAGTGCCTTCTACAACTCTAGGTCACTTAAGCATTTAATAAATAAATATTAATTTAATGAATTAATGAATTAAACGGCTTGATTCCCATAGAATATGACACATTTTGAAAATCCCACAACAATTAGGGCATACCTAAATCTTGTATGTTTCAGTAAATGCTATTGAAAAAATATCATATTGACAGGCAACTCCTACCTGGATTACGGTAACCTGTCACTTCTTGTCTAATAGGAAACTGTGGTTCTGGGGAGGAGAAAAAAAACACATAATTATAAAACATGATATAATGCCAAATGGGTTACAATCCAAAAGGCTCTGAGCTTAATATAATACCTAAATTCCAGTGTCAGCCAAACTAATTTCCAAGCATATATCTTATAGTTGAAACAAAATGCTTAACACTTGACCCTAAGTATGTATAAAATCTGTGATGGTTAATATTCAGTGTCAACTTGATTAGATTGAAGGATGAAAAGAACTGTTCCTGGGTGTGTCTGTGACGGTGTTGCCAAAGGAGATTAACATTTGTGTCAGTGGACTGGGAGAGGCACACTCACCCTCAGTATGGGTGGGCACCATCTAATCAGCTGCCAGTGCAGCCAGAATAAAGGAGACAGGAGAAGATGGAAGAACAGACTTGCCGAGTCGTCCGGCCTTCATCTTTCTCCTGTGCTGGATACCTCCTGCCCTCGAACATCAGACTCCAAGTTCTCCAGCTTTTGGACTCTTGGACTTACACCAGCTGCTTGCCAGGGGCTCTCAGGCCTTTCACCAGAGACTTAAAGGCTGCACTGTCGGCTTCCTGGCTTTTGAGATTTGGGGACTTGGACTGATCCACCACTGGGCTTCCTTGCTCCTCAACATGCAGATGGCCTATCGTGGGCATTTACCTTGTGATTGTCTGAGTCAATTCTCCTTAATAAACTCCATTTCATATATACATATATTCTATTAGGTCTGTCCTTCTAGAGAACCATAATACAAAATCCTTCTAGAGAAAAACGTCTCCTTGAGGGTCAATGGCATACTTTTCTAACTAAATTTGTCTTTTATAGATGCCAAACTCTTATTGGAACATAAACTTTGAGACTATTTTTAGAAATAAAGATTTTTAAACATCCATATTCTAGGACTTTGGAGGTTTTCCATTTTGTCAGCCATTTTTAGACTCTTTAGCACTCAATGCTATGCCTGTGTTCCTGGAGTAGTAGTATAGGAATCACAGATCCTGAGTTTTTGTTTTTATTTCCTCTACTGGTCTATCTATTTATATAACATGCATAATTTGGTAGAAGTTATTTTCATATGTCCACACTTCAGTTGCCTCATCAATAACATGGAGATAAAATGTCTATTTAATCCTTAATAGGAGGATCAAATTAAATGCTGTGTGCAAAATACCTATAAGGTTGTGAGATACACACTGGGTTTCCAATTAATGTTAGTTCTTGTCCTCTTATTTTTCTTTCTCATTTGTTTCATCATTTTGACCACTCAGGGTCTTTTAAAATGTGGAGATCTATACACTAATTTGTATACATTCAATTTCAAACTACGTTTCATCTCATCTCTTCAAAAGATGGATATAAAAATCTCTCCCTAGAGAAGTGAAATGACTCTTTTATTCTGATAAGTGCATTTGTTTATAGAAAGCTGCCAGTGAAGAGCACACATGAAAACAGAAAGACAAGAGGACCTTTAAAAAACGAAGAGGAAGGAACCCATGTAACTCACGTCATTTTCAGATTGAAGTCCTCTGACATGTGGTTTGCCTGAAGGAAATAATAAGTGATACCAAAGAATGTAACATAACCTCTTCTAAACATCTAAGACCTTCTCTCAAGGACCACCTTCGGGTGGAAATCTGAGTCACACACCCTGCTTTTCTGGAAAGAGTGATTTTGAAACCAACAGCTAACTTCCTCCAGTCAGTTAAGGGAGGTGCCCCTTTAACCATGTAATGTATGATAGCAAGAACAGTTGTTTTCTTTTTCTTTCTAGTAGCACAGACTTTTTTTTAAAAACACACTTAAAAATTATTTAAACCTCCTTGCTCAATAACTTTTGCAAATCGCAGTGAGAATTTAAGGGCTCAGACCCATAAATAAGATGTATTTCTTTTGGATGTTTTATCTCAGCCTTTCAAATCACATTTCTATGATTAGTCCTAAAATATTTTAACATTGAAGTATTCTCTATGTTGTTCCCTTTGTAAGCAATCGACCAACCAACCAACCAGACAAAAACTTAGCTTGCAAGTAGAAGTATGGCTTTGAAAACAAATCCAATATAGTGACTGAATAAAACCTCTTTTGGAATATGAATTGAATCACTGACATTTAGCAGAAGCATCCAGCTAAGTCTTAGCCTGAGGTGATAAATAGTGTCTCTCAAAATGAAATTCTCTGGCTTAGGTCCCATTACAAATAAAGATACAACTTTCTGCATATAATGACTTCATTCCAAGGAATTGATACTTGCACAAGGAGATGGTTTTATTATTGCCATGTATTATACTATATCACCCAAAACCATTACTTAGGAGTTAAGAATATAGATTTGGGCTGGGCACGGTGGCTCATGCCTGTAATCCCAGCACTTTGGGAGGCCAAGGAGGGTGGATCTTGTGAGGTCAGGAGTTTGAGACCAGCCTGGTCAACATGGTGAAACCTCATCTATACTAAAAATACAAAAATTAGCCGGGCATGGTGGTGTGCGCCTGTAATCCCAGCTACTCAGGAGGCTGAGGCAGGAGAATCGCTTAAACGTGGGAGGCAGAGGTTGCAGTGAGCTGAGATCACGCCATTGCACTCCAGCCTGGGTGACAGAGGGAGACTTTATCTAAAAAAAAAAAAAAAAGAAAGAATATAGATTCAAAATTCAGTTTTCCTGAGTTGAAACTGGCTCCATCACTTCTTAACTGTGAGATCCTGGATAAGTTATATAACCTCTCTCTGCTTTGATTTCTCTCATTTGCAAAATGTTGATAATAAAGATATCTTGTAAGATTGTTATAAATTTATGTGACAAAGCATACATTTGTATATCAGTTATACATGTTGCCTACAGTTTCATTATAAAGTCTAGAAATATGAGTATTTACCATATAAAGCCAACATATTAAGTAATCAATTTAATGCTTGTACTTGACAAGCTAGAAAGTGGTCACCTGGGGATGCCCACAGGATGGGAACCACCCCATTATGCTAGAGTGCTAGGGGACTAGTTGGACAATAAATTCCCAAACTGCATTGCCTTTTATGGCAGTGTGGAATGGAGTACACACTTAACAGATTTAAACCCCTTCTGTCACTTCTAGGGAATGCTGAAGGTACAAGTTGCTTCAGAATAAATCTGAGACACATTCATCCCAGGCAATGCATCACAGATGCATGAGCAGGGACTCGTGAAAACAAAAGCACTGCCTTTGCTGCAATTTTGCACACCTTATCCATCTATGCATTGTTAATGAGGGACAACCTGTGGAACATACCATGTAGATCATTGAGCAAATTATAATGAAAACCAAAGTTACTATGTAAACTGCCTAACTTTTCAGATCTCTGGATGCCCAGCATTATGTAAATGGTAGGCATGTTAGTACTAAAGGTAATTTATTGTGCTCTTGCCCATCCTCAACAGTAATCCAAGGGATTTTCCCTTGACTACACATTTAGAAAAAGGCAGGTATTGTGAAGAGGGTTCTTCTCCTAGGCTTATTCCAAAAGTATAATAGGTGGAGTAGATAATAAGCTACTAAAAAGGTGAGACTGGGAAAGTACTTCATTTCTGTGAGTTTACATGGAGGGATCTTAAAGTCTTCAATTATCATGTAAATGTGTTAATTTCCAAGGCAAGAACCAGTTGAAAGTCAAGTAATTTTCATGGTGAGGAGAAAGTAGAGCTTCAGATTACGGGACACAGCCCCAAGAAGGTCAGACTAAGATCTTTTTAAAATTTTGTCCAAAATAAAATTCTGGTAAATTTTGTCCAAAATAAAATTCTGGTAAAAGCAGAATTTGCATCAATATCAATTTGCAAAAGTCTTTGCTGTTTCCGTTACCACTTTCTGCTTCTGGAGATATTTGGTATCTTCTATCATGTGCCAGGGATCATGATAGGTGAACAGTTGTCAGATTTACCAAGTAAAAATATAGGATGCCTAGTTAAATTTGAATTTCTCATAAACAATGAGTCATTGTTTAGTATAAGTATGTCCTATGCAATACTTGGAACATATATGTAGGAAATTATTTATTTTTCATCATTAAAATTATATTTATATGAATTTATTTAGTTTTTCATCAGTAATCTAAAATTTAAATAGAGTTGCCAGATGAATAACAGTGCACTCAGTTAAGTTAGAACTTCAAATAAACAATGAATAATTGCTTAGTGTAAGGATGTCCCATGCAATAGTTGGGACAAACTTACATGAAATAAATTATTTGTTGTTTCTTTTGTCATTATTCTGAAATTCAAATTTAATTAGCTCTACCATTGTGCATCTGGCAACTCCATGCTAAATTCAAGTTAAGTGGCTACTAAGCAATCACCTTTGAATTCTAACACAAGTTTCCTTCATTTCAGAGTCTGCACTGGTAGGACTGCAGGTTCAGACTTTTCTGCAAGGTGTGCAAGGGGCACTAAAATGGAAGAAGAATGAGTCTCAGGACAAAATCTACCTACTTCACTATTTTAATTAGCGCTCTGGTCATGCACTCCAAGCTTTCTCCTTCTTTTAATTCAACATTACTTTTTGCTTTACTTAATCCGCAAGTTTGCTTAAATAGTAAATAAAGAGCAAATGCTTCTACTCTTATAAACCCAAAAATATCAAGCCGATTTTCTTCACACAAAACTTAGAGTGCACACTCTGAAAATAATCTGATAAATGGACAAAATATTTAAATTATAATGATCAGGAAAATCAGGGATGAAGTGTCACTTGACCCACAGCTCCAATTCCTTTGTAAGCACACAATAAAGTATGTTATTTCACATGGCTATGTGGTATTATTTTTCTTATGTTAATGTTGCTCACTAGGATTACATAATTTCTCATTTGTGTTTAGTGGTTTGTGTCTTCCACTCATCAGTACCAGAACCCCTAAATTAGATTAAAATATTCTCTATAGAGAGAGTTTTACAAACTACCTGAGAATCCTCATAACAACAAAAAAACCTTCAATTTCAATTCATTTCAAAAATATTTTAATTAGCTACCATAAACTAATTCAGATAATAGACATAGACCACTGAAGTTAAGGGAACTCTAAACCAGAGCCTCGTGTAATGACCCCTCTTTTTGCATAATAAACCCAAAGTACACATTCGGAGGTTTTTGCTTGTTTTTCCCTGAATGGAGATTTTTTTGTACATATCCATCTTTGTTACTTGACATATTTTTAAGCTACTACAACTTCAAATATGCAGCAAAAGCACTCTCATAACAAATGACCTACGTTGGTGAGGATGTTAAATCTGAGCCGCTGCAAGAAATACTGTCATACTAACTGACACACTCTATCTTTAGTAAGAAATATATATTTAATTATATAAATTAAATAGAGCAGGTATCAAAGTAACCCCTGAAATAGACACTGATTAATAAATAGTTTTTATAAAAATAGTGTTCATACCTTATACCATTGTTCTCAGTATTAATATATAAAAGGAACTACCAAAAACTTTGAGGTTTTTGCTGTGGTTTTTTTTTTTTTTTTTTTTTGCAAGTGCAGATTGACTCATTAACAGGCCGAGAAAACCATTTAAAATGGAAAATATGAGTATGCATTGCACATACAATGGTTAAATATTATTTTATGCTCTTTAAACCTGTGGGTCAGAGTCCCCATATTTGACAGCAATTGTACTAGAGTGCTTGGCAAAAAACCCAGAGTACTCTTGCATAAATGTCCTCTTACAATGTTATTTAAAGGGAAATTATAGCCCTATGTCTTAGTCAGCTTGGGCTGCTATAAGAAAGTACCACAGGCTAGGTGGCTTATAAGCAATGGAAAGCATCTCAAGGTCTTTAAGGAGGGTCTTTAAAAGGAGGGTCTCTAAAAGGTCTTATAATGATGACTGTCTCAATCTCACAGACCATGAGATCTTTTTAAAGATGAAATTCATTCTCCTAATACTAATATCATACCCATTTCTAGAACTGCAGAATTACCAGATTTTGTTACTATTCACTATCTGCCTCTAGGCTATCTTCCAACCCAAGCCTCTCTGCAGTTTTTAATCTCCTATAAGATGCATTTCTTTCTCAATGTCTTTCTCTCAATATCTCTCACACATGCGCTCTCGCTCTCGCTCTCTCTCTCTCTCTCTCCCTCCCTCCTTGCCTCTCATATTTATGTTATATGAATGCTTAAAGTATAGTGGCTTATGTCATTTGGTTGTTTCAAAGAATCCCTAAGGAGGAAGAGAACGATGGAAAGAACTCAAACTCATCCCATTGAATGCTTACCAAATGCTAAGCACATTTACAGATGTTATCAAGTATAATCCTTATGGTACATTTGTGAAGAAAGATGTAATTGTCTGTCTATTGTGAATGATCATGCTTAGGCCCAGAGTGGTAAACTGGGTTGGAGAGATATTGTCCTCACCACTTTATAGGCAGACCAACTGAAATTTATAAACGAAGGCCACTGGCACAAATCACAAAGAACAGTGGAAGCAGGCCCTGACTTCTAGTTTAGTGCTTGCTCTTTTCCCCTATCCCCCCACTGACTGAATGCTTGTTCATGTACTATTTGTACTTCTTTGGAGAAATGGCTTGAGGGTTCAGCAGACTGAATATATTATGAATATTTTCATCCGACGCAGTGGCTTCCAAGAATGCTTTTGCTGCATATCTGAAGTTATAGCAGCTTTAAAAAAATAAGAGTGATATGTATTGTTTTTCTTCTCTAACAACAGCAATAGTAACAATAATAATAGACTTCTCGTTTGTGGTGTGTGTGTGTGTGTGTGTGTGTGTGTGTGTGCGCGCGCGCGCGTGCATATATGTGGTTTTTTTCTCATTTTGACTAATGCAGGAGGCTGGATAATAAAGCTCTGAGTATTTGAGCTGCTCCTGTAACAACAACAAAAATGGATTCGTCCCATCATTATTCCTAAAGTGCTAAGTTTTGATATTATAAATTATTCCATTCTCCACAATATTCAACTTCTAATTGAGTCTGAAGTGGATGAGACTGACGGATTCTAAGATTTGAGTAAAGGATGCTGCATGCTGCTGTGATGAGGAGAGTAAAAAGCACTTAAAATAAATGATCTGCCTAAGGGATTCACATTTATGATTGATTATTCATCTCTGGAAGGCTTGCTACAAGTAGGAAATTTTCTGCATTAAATCTTATATTCTAGAACATGATCCAAGCATCCTTACATACAACCTGAACATTATAACCTTAAAGAGATTTTAACTCTTCATTTTATGCAGCTCTGCTGCTGCATTTGACACTGTTGATGATCTGTTCTCAAAACTCTTTCTTTTCCAGGTTTCTGACACTTAGTTTTTATAGTACGTCTACTTGCCTTTTTGACAAGTTCTCCTTAATTGAATCTTCTTCCTTCAATCTTCTAACTCTGGTTGTACTGAAGGCCTAGTCCTTGCCCCTCTGCTTGCTTTATTTTCACAATCTTTCTTTGGCAGTTTTCTCACAACTTTTATCTGAATTACTTCTGACAGCAATAGTGAATTAGTGCAGATTTATCCCATCCTGTGTTTAATCTTAAAAATGTTTGTAGACTTTATTTTCTATTTCATAACACTTCACTGTATGAGGGCATAACAATTTGTCTTAATTGCAAAAATTTTAAAACAGTTTTTTCATATCTTGGAATGTGCTCTCAAAAGCTATGTCATTATATCTTATGGCTTTATGTACTGCCTGGCCTCCTGCCTTGGAGCAGAAGTACAATCTGAGAAAAACTGCCTTAAACTATATTTCTCTCCAACCCAGACATACATCCTAAATCTGTGCAAAATGCGGTCTAGTAGGGTTTTATTTAGCAATTCTGACAACCTGAAAATCAACATGTTCCAGACTGACCATCTCCTCTCTGGAAATATCATGATATTCTCTGCAAAATGATTAAAGTTTTCAGTATCATTTTCAACTTCTCCTTTAATTGGGGTATACAATAATTACATCTTTTTATTGTGTTCCGCTTCTCTTCCTTAGTCCTTCATAGTGTAGCATCTTCTATAATACACACAGGAATTTTCACCTTTTTGGAAGTCACAGACTTATTCAATAATCAAAAGCTTATGTATCCATCCCCAGAAGAACTTTATTATGCATACATTGTTTTATGGGGATTCATACTCTCTACCCTATAAAATGATGTGTAGCTAACTTCTTTTCCTCCAACACCTCCTGCAAATTGCTGATCAAATTTATCTTCCTAAAACACTCTTTATCAAGTCATTAGCCCACTCAAAAATTTTTATAACACTCAACTACATAGAGAATAAAATGGAAGAGTGGCATGATGTTTAACATATGTCAGGGTTTATATGGCTCAGCTACTTTATATATATTATTATACTTAATATTCTTAATAAACTTATATGATAATATTATCTTCTTTTATAAAGAAGAAATAGAGAGTTGGGATCCAAGTCCAAGTTTCTCTTACTTCAAAACTTCTGCTTTTTCTCTTACTCCAACTTGCCTTCATTATGCCATTTTGTCTAAAATCCAAACAACTTTCTTCACCTGGCACAAAGGGTTTTTTCCCAAAATTTCTTCCAACTTTGTCTTCCATGCTTCTCTTTTTATAGACTCTATTCTGACTGGAATTATCTTGTTATTCTCCCCTAAAACTTGCCATTCATACACATGCTCTTTTGTTTGTTTTGTCCTCATCTTAAATAGGAAAGAAAACTCAAAGACCTTTGCTCCTCTAATCCAATTCCTTGTTGTTTTCTAGGGTCCAATTAAATCATGATTTCCTCTGTCATAACTTTCCCTATGAACATCTAGTTGGTACTTTTAATCATACACTATATTGTCATTTCCTTTCAGTATTTTTCCTACAATCGTTTTCTATTATTATGTAAAATGACAGTTGTTTGTATTCTCCCATCCCATTAAAATATAGGCAATTGAGGGAGCTATATAATTTAATTTACAAATAGCAGGGTCTGTCTATATTTGTTGAATGAGTGACTGTGTATGTATTCATAAGTGACCCATTTTCCTGGCACTAACCCCAGCCACGATTATTTAATCTTTATTTTCTCTAAGTTGATCCCTTTGTGAATTCTTTATGAAGCAGAATAGCAAAGATTCTTGATTTTTCCTTTAAAATGGTATTAAAGTATTCACTTTAACCACACTGGAAATATATATTGAACTAAAGAGAGTCCTTCATTTAAAAAAGTGGAAACGGAAATTTCACTCAACTCTGGTTCTCAAATAGGCCATTAGGCTTTTCTTCTGTCAATACCGATGTTCCTCAATCAGAGTAAGAGGTTGTTCAGGCTTGCCTTTAATAAACAATAGAAGCAGATCCTGTTCACATTTGAAAATCTGTTAAGTCATGTGCTTAACGTTAACTGGTTAGGACATTGACATGGAATGTTGAGAGCTTTGTCAAACATGCCCACAGGTTCACCATTTGCATAATCCTAAATGGAGTATTCCCATTAGGGGAGTTTTGTGTAGCTGTAAGCAGGAAACATGTTATAGTACTCTTGTCAGAGATATAGAAGAAGAAATTTTTTTCTACCAGAAATCACATAATAAATCAAGGGCAGGGCCTAATATGCAAAGATTGCTTCTTTTCTTCTAATTTAAATGTCATAGAATTTGTTCTATCCTTATATGTAAAAGAATTGGGCCCTCTAAAGAGAAGCGAAAAACAGTAAATGTTTGACTCTTCTTTCTTTCTTTCTTTCTTTTTTTTGGAGATGGAGTTTCGCTCTTATTGCCCAGGCTGGAGTGCAATGGCACGATCTCAGCTCACCACAACCTCTGCCTCCCGGGTTCAAGCAATGCTCCCGCCTCAGCCTCCCAAGTAGCTGAGATTACAGGCGCACTCCACCATGCCCAGCTAATTTTTGTATTTTCAGTAGAGACGAGGTTTCACCATGTTGGTCAGGCTGGTCTCGAACTCCTGACCTCGTGATCTGCCCACCTCGGCCTCCCAAAGTCCTGGGATTACAGGCATGAGACACCATGCCCTGCTGACTCTTCTTTCTTTCTTTCATTACTATTTTTATTTTTCAACTTTTATTTTAGATTTAGAAGGTTCATGCACAGGTTTGTCACAAGGGTATATTGTATGATGCTGAGGTTTGGGGTATAAATGAACTTGTCACCCAGGTAGTGAGCATAGTATCCAATAGGCAGTTTTCCAACCTTTGCTTCCCCTCCCCTCCCCCTTTTAGTAGTCCCCAGTGTGTATTGTTCCCATCTTTATGTCCATGTATATCCAGTATTTAGCTCCCACTTATACGTGAGAACATAAGGTATTTTGTTTTCTATTTCTGTGTTAATTCACTTAGGATAATGACCTCCAGCTGCATCCATGTTGCTGCAAAGGACATAAATTTGTTCTTTTTTTATAGTTTCATAATATTCCATGGTGTATATGTACCACATTTTCCTTAGCCAATCCGCTGTTGCTGGTCACCTAGGTTGATTCTATGTTGATTGTATGTTTTCACTATCGTGAATAGTACTGCGACAAACATATGAATGCTTGTCTTTTTGGCAGATCAGTTATTTTCCTCTGGGTATATACGCAGTAAAGAGATTACTGGGTTAGATGGTAGTTCTGGCTTTCGTTTTCAAAGAACCCTCCAAGCTGTTTTCCACAGTGGTTGAACTAATTTACATTCCCACCAACAGAGTATAAGAGTTCCCTTTTCTTCGCAGCTTCACCAGCATCCGTTATTTTTTGAGTTTTTTTTTTTTAATTTTTTTTTTGTTTGTTTGTTTTTGCGGTGGTGCAAAAGAACTGGGTCACTTTTATTCTGGAACAAAGTATAGTATATGGAAATTAAAGGAATTTCAGTACTTCCAGGATAAGCCCATTACATGAGGAGAGCTAAGCTATGAAACATGTAATTTATTTTTACAATTTTCCCAACATTATTTAAAAGGTATCTAGAACTTATTTCTCATATTCCACTTCATAGTATATTTTCTAGCATCATTGCCCAGTTAAAAATCATATTCTGCCAGAGAATTTACATTAGATGAGTGAGGTTTTACACGTTTTATATGTTATACGTTAAGGGATAAATGCATTCTTTTTTAAAAAAATTATTTTTTCTTTCAATAAGTTTTTGGGAAACAGGCAGGGTTTGTTTACATGAATAAGTTCTTTAGTGGTAATTTCTGAGATTTTGGCCCATCTATGAACCAAGCAGTGTACACTGTACCCAATATATAGTCTGTTAACCCTTGCCACCCTCCACCCTTTCCCTTAAGCCCCCAAAGTCCAATATATCATTCTTATACCTTCGCATTCTCATAGCTTATCTCTACATATTAATGAGAACATACGATGTTTTGTTTTCCATTCCTAGTTACTTCATTTAGAATAACAGTGTCCAACTCCATCCGGGTTGCTGTGAATGCCATTATTTCATTCCTTTTATGGCTGAGTAGTATCCCATATATATTCCATATATATATATATATATATATATATATCATATTTTCTTTTTCCACTCACTGACTGATGGGCATTTCAGCTGGTTCCATATTTTTGCAATTGCAAATTGTGCTTCCATAAACATGCATGTGCAAGTGTCTTTTTCATGTAATGACTTCTTTTCCTCTGGGTAGGTACCTAGTAGTGGGCTTGGTGGATCAAATGGTAGTTCTACTTTTAGTTCTTTAAGGAATCTCCACACTGTTTTCCATAGTGGTTGTACTGGTTTACATTTTCACCAACAGTGTAAAAGTGTTCCATTTTCACTGCACCCCCACCAACATCTATTTTTTTTTAATTTTTTGCTTATGGTCATTTTTGCAGGAGTGAGATAGTATCACATTGGGGTTGTGATTTACATTTCCCTGATCATTAATGATGTTGAACATTTTTCCATATGCTTGTTGGCCATTTGTATATCTTCTTTTGAGAATAATCTATTCATGTCCTTAACCCATTTTTTGATGGGATTGCTTGTTTTGTTCTTGCTGATTTGTTTTATTCTTTGTAGATTCTGGATATTAGCCCTATGTAAGATGTATAGATTGTGAAGATTTTCTCCCACCCTGTGTGAGTTGTTGGTTAACTCTGCTGATTACTTCTTTTGCTGTGCAGAAGCTTTTTGGTTTAATTAAGCCCCGTCTGTTTATCTGTGTTTTTATTGCATTCACTTTGGGGTTTTGGTCATGAAGTCTTTGCCTAAGCCAATGTCTAGAAGGGGTTTTCCAATGTTACCTTCCAGAATATTTATGGTTTCAGGTCTTAGACCTAAGTCCTTCATCCATCTAGAGTTGATTTTTGTATAGGGTGAAAGAAGAGGATCCAGTTTCATTCTTCTACATGAAGCTTGCCAATTGTCCCAGCACCATTTGTTGAATAGGGTGTCCTTTACCCACTTTACGTTTTTGTTTGCTTTGTTGAAAATCAGTTGCTTGTAAGTATTTGGCTTTATTTCTGGGTTCTCTATTCTGGTCCATTAGTCTATGTGCCTATTTTTATACCAGTATCATGCTGTTTTGGTGACTATGGCCTTACAGTGCAGTTTGAAGTCGGGTAACGTGACGTCTCCAGATTCATTCTTTTTGCTTAGTCTTGCTTTGGCTCTGCAGGATCTTTTTTGGTTCCATATAAATTTTAGGATTGTTTTTTCTAGTTCTGTGAAGAATGATGGTGGTATTTTTTTGGGAATTGCATTGAATTTGTAGATTGCTTTTGGCAATATGTTCATTTTCATAATATTGATTCTACCCAGCTGTAAGCATGGGATGTGTTTCCATTTGTTTGTGCTGTCTATGATTTCTCTCAGCAGTGTTTTGTAGTTTTCTTTGTAGAGGTCATTCACATCCTTAGTTAGGTATATTCCTAACTATTTTATGGTTTTTCTGCAGCTATTGGGAAAGAGTTTGTGTTCTTGATTTGATTCTCAGCTTGGTCTCTGTTGGTGTACAGCAGAGCTCCTGATGTGTGTACATTAATTTTGTATCCCATAACTTTGCAGAATTCATTTGCCAGTTCTAGGAGCTTTCTGGATGAGTCTTTAGGGTTTTCTAGGTATATAATCATATCATCAGCAAACAGTGACAGCATGACTTCGTCTTTACCAATTTTAATGCCCTTTATTTCTTTCTCTTGTCTGATTTATCTGGCTAGAAATTCCAATACTATGTTGAACAGAAGTGGTGAAAGTGGGCATCATTGTCTTCTTCCAGTTCTCAGGGGGAATGCTTTCAACTTTTCCCTATTTAGTATGATATTGGCTGTGGGTTTGTTGTAGATGGCTTTCATTACCTTAAGGTATGTCTTTTCTATGCTGATTTTGATGAGAGTTCTAATCATAAAGGGATGCTAAATTTTGTCAAATGCTTTTTTTGCATCTGTCGAGTTGTATCATGTGATTTTTGTTTTTAATTCTGTTTATGTGGTGTATCACATTTATTCACTTATGTATGTTAAACTATCCCTGCATCCCTGGCATAAAACCCACTTGATCATGGTGGATTATCTTTTTGATATGCTGTTGCATTTGGTTAGTTAGTATTTTGCTGAGGATTTTTACATCTATATTCATCAGGGATATTGGTGTGTGGTTTTCTTTTTTTGTTGTGTCCTTGTCTGGTTTTGGTATTCAGGTGATACTGGCTGTATAGAATGATTTAGGGAGGTTTTCCTCTTTCTGTATCTTTTGGAATAATATCAATAAGATTGGTACCAATTCTTATTTGAATGTTTGACGGAATTCAGCTGTCAATCCATTTGGTCCTGGACTTTTTTTGTTGGAAATTTTTTTTATTACCATTTCAGTCTCGCTGCTTGTTATTAGTCTGTTTAGATATTCTATACCTTCCTGGTTTAATCTGGGAGGGTTGTATATTTTCAGGAATTTATGCATCTCCTCTAGGTTTTCTAGTTTATGTACGTAAAGGTATTCATAGTAGCCTTGAATACTCTTTTGTATTTCTGCGGTATCAGTTGTAATATCTCCCGTTTCATTTCTAATTGAGCTTGTTTGAATTTTCTCTCTATTATTTTGGTTACTCTTGCTAATGGTCTATCAATTTTATTTATCTTTTCAAAGAACCATCTTTTTGTTTCATTTATCTTTTGTATTGTTTTTATTTGTTTGTTTCAATTTCATTTAGTTCTGCTCTGATCTTAGTTATTTCTTTTCTTCTGCTGGGTTTAGGTTTGGATTGTTTTTGTTTCTCCAGTTTTGTGAGGTGTGACCTTAGATTGTCTTTTTGTGCTCTTTCAGACTTTTTGATGTAGGCATTTAATGCTGTGAACTTTCCTTTTAGCACTGCTTTTGCTGTATCCCAGAGGTTTCCATAGGTTGTGTCACTATTATCTTTCAGTTCAAAGAACTTTTTAATTTCCATCTTGATTTCATTGTTGACCCAATGATCATTCAGGAGGAGGTTGTTTAATTTCCATGTATTTACATGTTTTTCAGGGTTCCTTCTGGAGTTGATTTCCAATTTCATTCCACTGTGGTCTGAGAAAGTACTTGATATAATTTTTTCTGAAATTTACTGAGACTTGTTTTGTGCCCTATCACACAGTCTATCTTGGAGAATGTTCTAAGTGCTGATGAATTGAATGTATATTCTGCAGTTGTTGGGTAGAATGTTCGGTAAATATCTGTTAAGTCTATTTGTTGTAGGGTGTAGTTTAAGTCCATTGTTTCTTTGTTGACTTTCTGTCTTGATGACCTGTCTAGTGCTGTCAGTGGGGTTTTAAAGTCCTCCACTATTATTGTGTTGCTGTCTACCTCATTTCTTGGTCTATTCATAATTGTTTTATAAATTTGGGAGCTCCAGTGCTAGGTGCATATATATTTAGAATTGTGAACTTTTCCTATGGGACTAGTCCTTTTACCATTATAAAATGTTCCTCTTTGTCTTTTTTAACTTCTGTTGCTTTAAAGTTTCTTTTGTCTGATATAAGAATAGCTCCTCTTGCTCTCTTTTGGTGTCCATTTGCATGGAATATCTTTTTCCACCCCTTTACCTTAAGTTTATGTGAGTCCTTCTGTGTTAGGTGAGTCTCCTGGATACAGGAGAAACTTGGTTGGTAATTTCTTATCCATTCTGCCATTCTGTATCTTTTAAGTGGACCATTTAGGCCATTTACATTCAATGTTAGTATTGAGATGTGAGGTGCTATTCTATTCATTGTGCTATTTGTTGCCTAAATAACTTGTTTGTTTGTTTTTTCATTGTTATTGTTATATAGATTCTGTGAGAGTTATGCTTTAAGGAGCTTCTATTTTGGTGAATTTTGAGATTTTGTTTCAAGATTTAGAGCTCCTTTTAGCAGTTTTTGTAGTGCTGGCCTGGTAGTGGCAAATTCTCTCAGCATTCGTTTGTTTGGAAAAAGACTGTATCTTTCTTTCATTTATGAAGCTTAGTTTTGCTGGGTAAAAAATTCTTGGCTGATAATTGGAAGAGATATCTGCACTTCTCTATTCATTGCAGCATTATTGACATTAGTCAAGATGTGGAATCAAGCTAAGTGTCCATCAACAGATGAAAAGATTTTAAAAAGTGATATATATGTATGTGTGTGTATATACATGTATGTATGTATATGTGTGTCTGTGTATGTCTCTCTCTCATATATAATGAAATATTATTCAGTCTTCAAAAAAAAGGAATGCTTCCATGCCTTCCACATGTGACAACATGGATAAATCTAGAGGGCATTATGCTAAGTGAAATGAACCAGAAACAGGAAGACAAATCCTGCGTGTATCACTTACATGTGGAATCTAAAAAAGTTGAACTCTTTAGGCACCAATATTTTTAAAGTAGGATCATTTCTCCTAATAATATGAATTTCCAGTTTTTCCAGAAAGATAGCAAGAATTACAATGCTGGGTCACAATGGCACGATAGTCTGAGGCTAAGGCCCACTTCAGATAAAGCATGCATTCTTTGTTTACCTCAGTGTCTGCTCACCACAATTTATTCACTGCTAATACCCTCTTGTTCCCTGCAGGTACATCTGTGTGTGACACCTATGTGTGTTTTTCAAAGAGCAAAAGTCTTTATAACTATAGGAGCTTATTGAGATAAAGAAAACTACAGCTTTTTAAAGACGGTAAGAGAGTCTTCAAAGGCTATTTTCTTTTGTGTTGCTGACCTGCTTGACTTAATAAAGTAGATATGAATGTGTAGAGAAATATAAAAAGAAAATAAATTCAAAGTAGGGTGAAATAAGAAATCACCTTTTATTTTTGCTCCAAATTTTCCATTCCTGTATTATCTAATTGAAATTATTACTAATAGTTTTATATACATCCTTCCATATATGTTTCTAAGTTTGTGTGTAGGTACACATACATGCATGCATCCACTGTTTACATTAATGGTATCAGAATACACGTCTTATTCCATGAATTTTTTTTTACATAAGAATAGAGCCCTTTTCATATAAGTACATATAAATCTGCTCCAAATTTTGATGGCAACATAATATTTAAAATGCAAATTATTAGTTTATTGAACCATTCCATCACTGATCCACATTTAGGCTGTTTCTGGTTTTTTACTTTTTGAACAATAATAATATGGCCATATTTATTCATATTTCTTGATGCACATTTGTCAGTGTGTATGCAGGATGAACTCATCCTAAGTTGTATTATGGGGTCAAAATAAGTGCATGTTTTAGAGTCTGATTGATATGGCTAGACAAAAGAAATCAATCATTAATCCTTGCCAAATGTTAAAGCCTTTCTTCTGATGTTTAGGTGAAGTATGGATCTGGTTAGATTTTGGTGAGGGCTCCCTAAATATAGTGTGACATTTTCATTTGATAAGAATATTTGTCTGGGTTATGTTCTCCCTATGTGCAAATTTAAACAGTTTCGTGTCAAAAACAAACAGAACGGCATCCACTCCTTGCTTCTCTCCCCTCCCCCTGCCACACACATAAACTGGTATACCTGTCTCTGGAAAGTAGACTGGACATCTTTTACTTATGATGAAGATGACAATAGAGACATAATTGATCTTCATTGCAACAAATCGGATGCCTAGAAGGAAGCCAAATGGTAGAGATACAGGGCTCTGTGTCAAAAATCCTAAGAGGCAGGAAGTGCCCTGGGATATGCTCCAGCTGCAGCGGAAATGTGAGAAGCCTCAAATGGTTAAAAGGTAATAGCCTGCTGAAGGAGAGACGTGTGTGTAGCAGGATGTGTTGCTACAAAGAATTTCTCTAGCTCTTTGTTGTTAAGTTAATTTAATACTGTGCATATCCATTTGCTTTCTACTGAATTTTACTGCGTAAGATAAGAAAAAGGCTATGGTATATAGACATTCATTTCACCTCTTCTGCTGATGCCACACCTTTGCATCTTACCTGTAACTTCCCTGTGAAAACACCACTGAAGAGGCAATGAGTTATAAAATGGCTACTTTTTTTCCTCCAAAATAATATTTCACTAATACCTGTGTTTGGAAATTCATATAGAATTCTAATTACACACATTTATTATGAAATGTGATATTTATTCTAGGGGAAAGTATATCCTATTATTTAATAATAGTTTTGTCCAAAGGGCAAATATTAACAGAGATTAATGGATTCATCCTTTTAACATTTATACAATGTGGGAAAGGGCAAATAACATTATTCTCATTAAAGATTATTATATTTCATAGAATAAGTACCAGTATGTTTTGAGCCTAACTGAACATAATTTATGAGTGTAGAAATCTAAATTATTCATATCAATAGCTTTTATTTGTGGAGTATCAGCAGTTCGTCACATACCCTAACTGGAGCAACATCAGCAACCTTGTGAATTTTGCAGAATAGGTGCTAAATTTGATTTGCCAATGTTGCCTCAAGTTCACTTGTAAAAGGTCAGTATACAAATGAATTTAATAAGCAATTTTGAGATTAGAAATCTGAGAGGTTAAGTGTATTACCCAAGACCATATTAGTAACAGACCAAGGCCAACATTTCCACAGAGCTCAAGGGCAGAACTACTTACCTCCTACTTGCTTTTATTTTCTTTCTTCAGAGAGAATGTGTTCTTTCTTGTGAGGTTTTTCACTTGCCCACCCTGTCAGTAACAGGCATTAGGACTTCCAAACCACTCTCCACAATGAGAGTCTCCACTCTCCACTGTCACTTGGCATTAGCTGTGCTGTTTTGTTTTGCTTTGTTTTTTGTTTTGTGTGAGACAGAGTCTGGCTTTGTCACCCAGACTGGGGTGCAATGGAGACATCTCGGCTCACTGCAACCTCCACCTCCCGGGTTCAAGCGATTCTCCTACCTCAGCCTCCCAAGTAGCTGGGATTGCAAGCACACACCACCACTCCCAGCTAATTTTTGTATTTTCAGTAGAGACAGGATTTCCCCATTTTGGCCAGGCTGGTCTCAAACTCCTGACCTCAGGTGATCCACCCGCCTCCGCCTCCCAAAGTGCTGGGATTACAGGCGTGAGCCACTGTACCTGGCAGGTTTTGGATCCATTGAAGAAATAGTATTTTGAAGTTGTAAATGATAAAATATACACGAAAAGTTGCAACAGAACTGAAACAAAAGTGAAGACAGAGAATAAAATACTAGCTATCAGTTTTTAATGAGTTCACGCATCTACCTCCAGGAAAACTTGTTGTGGTGAAAAGAGTTGTATCCAACTTTGGGTTCAGTTCTGGGTTTTGCATTTCTAGCTGTGTGAAATACAAGCAAAATATTTTTTTAGCTGCTTTGAACCTTAATATCTTCAGTGATAAAATGGGAATGACAATAGCTATGTCATAACGTGTTTTTTAAGAGTTAAGGTAATGTATGTAAAATCATTGTACCTTGTGAGTTCTTAATAAATTGTAGCAGTAATTAATAAAGTATGAAATCAGATTGCTGAATTGACTTACATATCATATGATATCTAGAATACATTGTTAATTAGTAACTGATTTACCAAAATTTATAGGGGCAGGGAAACAGTGAGTACTAAGACTTAGCAAGTATTCACTTAACTCAAAGGATGCTATACAAATCTCATTTCTATTAGAGTGTGATGTTAGATCAGGGATCAGCAAACCACAGCACACAGTCCAAATCTGGCATGCAGTCTGCTTTTGTGTTTCTGAGAACTAAAACTTTTTTTCATATTTTTAAACAAGCAAACCAAAAACACAGAAGAATATTTCTTCACATGAAAATTATACAAAAATCAAATTTAAGTCTTCATAATCAAGTTTACTAGAACATAGCCACACTTATGCATTTGTCATACAAGGAAGCTTTGGCATTACAATGACAGTCCTTGGAACAGAGATCATATGATCTACAAAACCTAAAATCTTTACTTTCTGGCCTTTTATGGAAAAAGTTTGCAGATTCTGTACTAGACTATTGGGTCACAGAAATTTCCCAGACACATTATTTCTGTATTTAAGAAATAATTTAACAAAGCCAACATGCCATCTGTCTAACATAAGCGCTTCCTCTCCATATGCTGAGCTAAATTCTGAAAGAGGGCAGCCCACCGTAGATTATATTCCCTAGGCCTCTTTTGTCTAGATGGGCCATATGACAAGTTTTGCCAATGGAATGTGAGTGAAAATGATGAGCATCCTTTCTAGACAGGGGTTTGAAGAAGCAGATGTTCCTTCCAGCTAACTGAAGCAGAAGACTCAAAGACCCTAAGAATGACAGAACCATAAAACATAAGGAGTCTAGATGGCTGTATCACATGTGGAAGAGAGATACGCAC
The DNA here is from genome assembly GCF_000001405.40 of Homo sapiens. NCBI lineage: Eukaryota > Metazoa > Chordata > Mammalia > Primates > Hominidae > Homo > Homo sapiens. Next base: position 106,158,818 of record NC_000003.12, on the reverse strand, counting down.
CTACCAAAAACATCTGGTCTGTACTGTTGAGTGGCAAATGAAGTTCTATTGTTTAATCATTGAAACTTGGGAGTTGGTTGATTATAGCTATTAGGATTTTCCTAACTAATTGACTTCTCAAGATATCCTCCTAGAAAAAATACAGAAATATAGCTGAATAACAAAACTTGAATGAATTCAGAGATGAACAACTGAGCCCAGACATGGTTGATTAAACAATTAACACCAAAATGGGCAGAATAGGTGTAACACAGGGATTTTCTATCCTTGGACCTATGCTGATAACCAATTCTATGAAACTTAATGAGCGTTTAGAAATGTTTTGAAGGTTGCCTGCCTTTGGAAGAGTTATGTTTTTTTAAGTCAGTGGATAGAATCATTGGGACAAATTTATAAAGACATAGTCAGCTTAGCATAAAGAATAATTAAAAAATAAAAGAGAGACAGTTGCCTGAAAGGAGCTACTTTGCAATATAGTGTGTCCTCCACAAAGTGGTCAAGCAGTGTATGAAGAGCTTTCATTATTTTGGCAAAAGAGAGTTCATAATTACTCAGGAAGTTGAATTAATAATTCCTTCAATTCCTCCTAACTTTTGATTATTTAATTTCATCACCAAAGGTTATCTTGTTTTAATCGTAAACTTGCTATTTAGTTTCAGGAAATAGACAAATCGACAAGATGAACAGACAACTCTGCCACTGATTTTCTGTAAATTGACTATATTCACAGGTCATAAATATATAATCCAGGAACTCTTGATTAAATTATTCATTCTGTCATACAGTAAATAAGGTACAATGGAGAAAAGAAAGATAACTCAAAGGACTGGCATATTTGTTATGATGTATTCATCTGCAAGCAAGATAATAGCAATTTTATTAAGTTGCTTAAGTGATAAGATACTTAATAATTTCATATCAAAAAGGTTGAACCTAGCTGAAACCACATTATGAGAACAAAGTTGATATCATATGCATAAGATGTATTAGTAATTATGTAATAATTAATAAATGTATAAGACAACTGATATCATTTATATTCTGATATGATACACAGGGAGGGGATCATCACTTCTTTGTTTTTCTGGCCTAAAATGCATAGTCCATCATGAGAAAACATTGGATAAGCTCAAATTATGGGACATTCTAGTAAATAATTAACTAGCACTCTTCCAAAGTGTGAAGACTATAAAAGACAGTAATGGTTAACAAGTTGTTGGCCGGGCGTGGTGGCTCATGCCTATAATCCCTAGCACTTTGGGAGGCTGAGGTAGGCAGATCACCTGAGGTCAGGAATTCAAGACCAGCCTGGCCAACATGGTGAAACCTCATCTCTACTAAAACTACAAAAATTAGCCAGCCATGATGACAGGTGCCTATAATCCCATCTACTCGGGAGGCTGAGGCAGAAGAATTGCTTTAACCGGGGAAGCGGAGATTGCAGTGAGTGGAGATCGTGCTATTGCACTCCAGCCTGGGCAACAAGAGTGAAACTCCATCTCAAAGAAAAAAAAATTGCTGCAGAAATAATGGACTAAGGAAACACAACAATTAAGTTATATTTGGGATCCTGCATTGGATCTTGGAACAGGGAAAAAAGAAAGATATTAGCAGAAAAACTGGTAAAATCCAAATATCTATAGATTAGTTAACATTATTATACTAATGTTAATTCTTACTTCTGATAATTGTACTACGGTCATGCAAGATCTTAACACTGAGGGAATCTGGCCGAAGGGTATATAGAAACCCTCTACTAACTGTACAACTTTTCTGTAAGTCTGAAATTATTTCAAAATGAAAAGTTAAAGGAAAATAAAAAACAAAGTTGTCATTCCAGATACAGCATAATAACACAGGAACATCATCAGGGACCCAAGATTTTTTTCTACTTCTCCATTCTGCCACCCTTCCATGTTGCTTTGTGTCTCTAGGTTCATTTGCATACTGGATGCTTTGCTCTCCACTGTACTTCAGATCCATGTATCTACATCCTGTTCTGTTCCCTGGAAAACAGCCTTCTATGAGTTAAATCAATTGGACATCCCTGTCCTATGGCTTATGTTAAGGCAATGCTAGCAGATGAAAGTGCCAGAAGAGTCGGAATTTAGGTAGATGATTCCCCTGGCTCTTTCCATTTTAGGCTAAGGTTCGTAAGAGCCTGAGTTGCTCTACCTAAGGCCCTGATGTCAGCCCTTCCAGGGCACCCCTCTCCTAAAGCTGTACTCACAGTTCTGGTAATCATTCTCTCCTCTTGCATCTTCAGCCCTAGGGTGCTATCTATTCCTGCAGTTCCCTTCTACCCTGCTCACTCTTTACAAAATTCATAATTACCTCATCTGCATGTGCCATCTCATTCTTGCCTGATCATTCTCTGACTGATGCATCTCCTCATAGTAACAAAATAGTCCATGTAGTTCCAAGCATCATGTCGTCTTTCATGTAATTAGAGAGGCAAGAACAGATAACGTCTATGAGACATGAAAAAACGTGTCAGCTGTATATGGCTTCAATTCTAGCTGTGTCACTCACTGGCTTTATAGTATGTCTGGCACACAGTAGGTATTCATATTCACTGTCTTGTTAATAGAAAGTTAATCCTGTTGCTCAGGATAAATACTCTAGAATCATACTCACTGTCTTTCTGACCCCAAAGCCAGGATCAGGTCTGCCTCTAAATATGTCTACATTCATCCATCAGTTTTCATTCCCTGCACCATCACAGTCCTAGTTCACCATCTGTCCTTTTGATAATTGCATTTGTCTCCCTGCTTTAATGCTCCCTTAATGCTCCTCCTGCACCGCGTGCGCGCGTGCACACACACACGCACACATTTTCATAGTAGGCAGAGAAATCTTTTAAAAGGTAATTCAGATCATGTGACTCCTCTGCTCAGAACTCTCCCAATTCACTGAGAGGAAAAGCCAGTCAATGTCTTGACAGTGGCCACAAGATCCTACAAGATCTGCCTCCTTCCACACCTTACCTTCCTTACCTTATCGGCTACTGCTTTCTTCTTTATATGCTGTTTAGCCACACTGGGCTCCTAGCTGTTGCTGAAACATGCCAAGTGTGCTCCCACCTCAGGGTCTTTCTTATGTCCTCTGCCTGGAACTTTCTTCTACCAGATACCTTACTGATCTGCTCTCTCACTTTCCTCTGGTCTTTGCTCAAATATCAGCCTTTTCTGATCACCCTAAATAAAATAAGATAAAACTCCATCCTTATCATACTACCACCAGGACTTCTTATTCCGATCATTTGCTTGTCTTCATAGAACTGAACAATTATATATATATATGTGTGTGTGTGTGTGTGTGTGTGTGCGTGTGCTATGTGCATGTGTGTGTATATACATATATATACGTGTATATATACACACACACATTTTGGGTCTCTCATTAGAATACAGTATTCTTACTGTCAAAGATTTTGTTCAGTGTTATATGCACAGTCCCTAGGATGGTGCCTGGTACATAGAAGATAATAAATATTTGTGAAATAAAGGAATGTATGAATATTAATTGAATGCAAATCTGTACAAATACTTTTCAAAGGTTATTTCCCTGCTGGGATTTGGGAAGATTTCTTCATGTGAAATAAGCAGAGGGAATTTGAACTAAATAACTCCATTGCCTACTGAAGAAGCTGCCCAGAAAAGAGAAAGGTGCTGCTCATCAAATATTCTTTCAACGTTCCTCTCACAGAGCCAACTTGAATGGAGACTTCCTTAGACAACCAGAGAAAAGTTTTATGGCTACAGTAAATAAATTTTTGTTGCTATGTAAGCCAGAATGTAAGCAGGAATCCTTAATGATACTCTAGATATACCTGGAGGAAACTTTTGCCATACTTCATACATTGCTGACATGTCAGCTACAACACTTCACACTTGACTGAGGCGCTATTAAAACAATTACCGAGTCATTAACAAGAGCTTTTAAGACCAGTTTTGAAATCACACTAGCAAAAAATTTGCTTTGATAGTCATATTAGCCCCCAGTGTGGCCTGGACTTGGGCAGTTTTCAACTTCAAGATTCTCTCTCCTGGCTTCTTATCTATTTATCCCTTTGATTCCTGAGAACACTCCAAATGCAGGTATAAACTATATTTCAAATGTCATTAAAACTTCATCCATCTAGGCCTGAACTAATGGAAAACTACTTTGAAAATGTCTTTGATTTTGAGTATCCACATTCTGACCATTCTGAGAGCTAACAGGGAAAGAAAAATTGGAAAAACCAAAGGACAGTCCCTCTTTTATATTCTCAGGGACCCAAGGACAAGATTCAATAAAAATTTATGCCCCATCTTCTAAAATCTTTTATAGCAATTACTACCACCCGAACCTCAGACACAGTTTTTGACCTTTTCATACTTGATTAACTTTATTCTGCTTACTCCTCTCAAACTTGGGGACTTCTCTCCTCTCATCTCTAACATCCTAATGTTCACCATCCTTCATGCAGACTGTGGCTATCCTGAAACATCCAGTGAGACAGCTCACTCACCTTCCTTACCCACAATGCCACACCTAGTCCAAATTACCTTATAACCCCTACAGAAAAAAGTTCTATCTTTTCTCTGTTAACTAGGTATGTACAGAGAGGAGTATATACTCGTATCCTAATCAAAGTAATTTAGGCAGATTATAAGTTACTATTAGAGCTAATCAATGAAATACATATTTGCATTTTAAAGAGGAGGCCAACAGAAATGAATTATCGGATGCATAACCTCCTATCTCTGAGGAAAACAGTACTTTTTTTTTTTTTTTTTTGAGACTGAGTCTTGCTCTTTTGCCAGGCTGGAGTGCAGTGGCATGATCTCCACTCACTGCAAGCTCCGCCTCCCAGGTTCAATCAATTCTCCTGCCTCAGCCTCCCAAGTAGCTGGGACTACAGGCATGTGCCACCATGCCCAGCTAATTTTTGTATTTTTAGTAGAGACGGGGTTTCACCATATTGGCCAGGATGGTCTCGATCTCTTGACCTCGTGATCCGCCCATCTCAGCCTCCCAAAGTGCTGAGATTACAGGCGTAAGCCACCATGCCCAGATGGAAAACAGTACTGTTTTATGTTTTCTTTCACTCTGACAGAAATCAAAGATACACAATGACACAGAGACTAGTTAGGAAGATTTTAATTCTCTCTTTATAAACAAAAAACTAAGCAATAGCCATTATTATCAGATCTGTTTATCCCTGCCTTTCCTCCCCTGCCCACCTAAAGTGAGATTCTTTACAAAACACCTGCCATATAGAGATACAGAGGTGGAAATGCATGCCAAAGGGATTGACTACGATGTGCCTAACATCTGACAGGAAGTGGGAAAGAAAGGAGGACATTCTGACCCCTCTAACGCTTTCCATAAGACATTCTGTTGTAACTTTTTTACTCATTTGGGACACTAAGGAGGAGTCTCTTCTTACTTATTTATGGAAATGTGAAAAAAATAGACCAATGTGATTTCTAAACAGTTTTTTTAAACAGAAAATATATATACATTATTCTCCCTTATTGCAGAGACACGGCCCATTTCAGTAGGGAGAAAAATTTTTGCAGAATCTCACTTCATTATAAGCAATAGTCAAAGTCTATTGCAAATATGAAGACTCGGGCCCCATTTCAGTATTTTCCATAGACTCTTGCGAAACAGGTAACAAGTACATGCTTGAGTAGGAAAGTCTTTTTTTTTTTCCACATCAACTTTACTACCAGTACATTTTTTCCCAAAGAAAATAACTGGGTACAGCCGGGCATGGTGGCTCACACCTGTAATCCCAGCACTTTGAGAGGCCAAGGCAGGTGGATCACCTGAGGTTGGGAGTTCAAGACCAGCCTGGCCAGTATGGTGAAATCCTGTCTCTACTAAAAATACAAAAATTAGCTGGGTGTGGTGACGGGCACCTGTAATGCCAGCTACTCTGGAGGCTGAGGCAGGAGAATCGCTTGAACCCAGGAGGCCAAAGTTGCAGTGAGCCAAGATCACTCCATCATACTCCAGCCTGGGCAACAAGAGCAAAACTCCATCTCAAAAAAAAAAAAAAAAAGAAAAAGAAAAAGAAAGAACATAACTGAGTAGAAATCAAATCTTAATATTTTACTCACAGAGTCTTGCTGAAATCAATCTCAACTCTTATGGAAAGTAATATTGCTCCTCAGTGCCATTTCATCCGTTCCTTCGACTACCTAAGAGATCTACTTCAGTACTTTCAAAAATACAGGTTGTGTAGTCTCACTACAGTTCAAAGCAAGTGATTAACATTGCCAATGTAACAGTTGATTCTTCCACAATTGTTGCAGAAACTGAACATTTAAAAACATATCATTTTTAGATAAGAATGTTCCAAAATTTAAGAATCCAGTAGTTTTTTTTTTATTATTGTTTTTATATCCTGGACATAAACAAAAAGGTGGCATCCTAAAGTCTTTATAGTACACATATTTCTTTGTTATCCTTCAAAACACATAATTATTTAACACATGTTAATTATTTTTCTCATGTGATAAAATAAGCTGTATTAATTATCTGATGCTATATAACCATTATGTTAAATTTAATGGTTTAAGGTAACAGTAAACCTTTGTTCTCTTAGTTTCTAGAAGTGAAGAATTTAGGAGCAGATTAGATGGGTGGATCCAGTTTGCAGTTGCAGTAAAGGTGCTGGCCGGGGCATAGTTATCTAATGTCTTAACTAGGGGTCTCAGCAACATAGCCGGCAAGCTGGTGCTGGTTGATTGCAAGAGGCCTCAGTTCTTCATTATGTGGACATCACTATTAGACTGCTTAAGTATGCTCCTTAAATGCTTGCTGCCTTTACTCTGAATAAATTACCCAAGAGACAACAAGACAAAAGTGACAATGTGCTAGTTATGGACTGAATGTTTGTGTCCCCCCAAAATTTATATGTTGAGATCCTAACCCTCAATAGGAGAGTATTAGCAAGTTTGGCCTTTGAGAGGTAGTTAGGTCATGTAGGTGGAACCATTGTGAGTGGGATTATAAAAGGGACGCCAAGAGTTTTCCAGCTCTTTTTTCATCATGTGAGCATACCATGAGAAGACTATCTGTAGACCAGGAACTGAGTATCTTAACATGTTCAAATATTATAGCTAACTAGAATAACCAGTTTAGAGAAGAACATAAATGACATGATGGAGCTGAAAAACACAGCATAAGAACTTTGTGAAACATACATAAGTATCAATAGCCCAATCAATCAAGCAGAAGAAACGATATCAGAGACTGTAGATCAACTTATTGCAATAATGTGTGAAGACAAGATTAGAGAAAAAAAGAATGAAAAGAATGAACAAAGTCTCCAAGAAATATGGGACTATGTGAAAAGACCAAACCTACATTTGGATGGTGTAGCTGAAAGTGACGGGGAGAATGGAACCAAGTTGGAAAACACACTTCAAGATATTATCCAGGAGAACTTCCCCAACCTAGAAAGACAGACCAATGTTCAAATTCAGGAAATACAGAGAACACCACAAAGATAATCCTCAAGTAGAGCAACCCCAAGACACATAACCGTCAGACTCACCAAGGTTGAAATGAAGGAAAAAATGTTAAGGACAACCAGAGAGAAAGATCGGGTTACCTACAAAGGGAAGCCCATCAGACTAATAGCTGATCTCTCAGCAGAAACCCTACAAGCCAGGAAAGAGTGGGGGCTAATATTCAACATTCTTAAAGAAAAGAATTTTCAACCCACAATTTCATATTCAGCCAAACTAAGCTTCATAAGTGAAGAAGAAATAACATCCATTACAGACAAGCAAATGCTAAGGGATTTTGTCACCACCAGGCCTGCCCTGCAAGAGCTCCTGAAGGAAGCACCAAATATGGAAAGGAAAAACCAGTACCAGCCACTGCAAAAACAAACCAAAATGTAAATACCATCCACACTATGAAGAAACTTTATCAACTAATGGGCAAAATAACCAGCTAGCATCATAATGACAGGATCAAATTCACACATAACAATATTAATCTTAAATGTAAATGAGCTAAATGCCCCAATTAAGGGACACAGACTGGAAAATTGGATAAAGAGTCAAGACCCATCAATGTGCTGTATTCAGGAGACCCATCTCACGTGCAGAGACACACATAGGCTCAAAATAAAGGGATGGAGGAAGATTTACCAATCAAATGGAAAGCAAAAAAAAAAAAAAAAAAGCAGAGGTTGCAATCCTAGTCTCTGATAAAACAGACTTTAAACCAACAAAGATCAAAGAAGACAAAGAAGGGCATTACATAATGGTAAAGGGATCAATGCAACAAGAAGAGCTAACTATCCTAAATATATATGCACCTAATACAGGAGCACTCAGATTCATGAAGCAAATTCTTAGAGATCTACAAAGAGACTTAGACTCCTACGCAATAATAATGGGAGATTTTAACACCCCTCTGTCAATATAAGACAGATTAATGAGTCAGAAAATTAACAAGGATATTCAAGACTTGAACTCAGCTCTAGACCTAATGAACCTAAAAGACATCTACAGAACTCTCCACCCCAAATCAACAGAATATACATTCTTCTCAGCACCACATCGCACTTATTCTAAAATTGACCACATAATTGGGTATAAAACACTCCTCAGCAAATGCAAAAGAATGGAAATCATAACAAACAGTCTCTCGGGTCACAGTGCAATCAAATTAGAACTAAGGATTAACAAACTCACTCAAAACCACACAACTACATGGAAACTGAACAACCTGCTCCTGAATGACTACAGGGTAAATAACAAAATTAATGTGTCCAGAATTGGTGGGTTCTTGGTGTCACTGACTTCAAGAATGAAGCCACAGACCCTCACGGTGAGTGTTACAGTTCTTAAAGGCGGCGTGTCTGGAGTTTGTTCCTTCTGATGTTCAGATGTGTTTGGAGTTTCTTCCTTCTGGTGGGTTCGTGGACTCGCTGGCTCAGGAGTGAAGCTGCAGACCTTCGAGGTGAGTGTTAAGCTCTTAAGGCGGTGCGTCTGGAGTTGTCTGTTCCTCCTGGTGGGCTCGTGGTCTCGCTGGCTTCAGGAGTGAAGCTGCAGACCTTCACGGTGAGTGTTACAGCTCATAAAGGCAGTGTAGACCCAAAGAGTGAGCAGTAGCAAGATTTATTGCAAAGAGCAAAAGCACAAAGCTTCCACAGTGTGGAAGGGGACCCGAGTGGGTTGCCACTGCTGGCTTGGGCAGCCTGCTTTTATTCTCTTATCTGGCCCCACCCACATCCTCCTGATTGGTAGAGCCGAGTGGTCTGTTTTGACAGGGCAGTGATTGGTGCATTTACAATCCCTGAGCTAGACACAAAGGTTTTCCACGTCCCCACCAGATTAGCTAGATACAGTGTCAACACAAAGGTTCTCCAAGTCCCCACCAGAGTAGCTAGATACAGAGTGTCAGTTGGTGTATTCACAAACCCTAAGCTAGACACAGGGTGCTGATTGGTGTGTTTACAAAGCTTGAGCTAGATACAAAGTGCCAATTGGTGTATTTACAACCCCTGAGCTAGACATAAAGGTTCCCCAAGGCCCCACCAGAGTAGCTAGATACAGAGTGTCGATTGGTGCAGTCACAAACCCTAAGCTAGACACAGGGTGCTGATTGGTGTATTTACAAACCTTGAGCTAGATACAGAGTGCCGATTGGTGTATTTACAATCCCTGACCTAGACGTAAAGATTCTCCAAGTTCCCACCAGACTCAGGAGCCCAGCTGGCTTCACCCAGTGGATCTCGCACAGGGGCTGCAGGTGGAGCTGCCTGCCAGTCCCGCACCGTGCACCCACACTCCTCAGTCCTTGGGTGGTCGATGGGACTGGTCGCCATGGAGCAGGGGACACTTGTTGGGGAGGCTCGGACTGAACAGGAGCCCACAGCGGTGGGTGGGGGGAGCGGAGGCTCTGGCATGGCAGGCTGCAGGTCCTGAGCCCTGCCCCACAGGAAGGCAGCTAAGGCCCGGCGAGAAATCGAGCGCAGTGCCAGTGGGCCGGCACTGCTGGGGGACCCAGTACACCCTCCGCAGCCGCTGGCCTGGGTGCTAAGCCCCTCATTGCCCGGGGCTGGCAGGGCCAGCCGGCTGCTCTGAGTGTGGGGCCTGCCAAGCCCATGCCCACCTGGAACTCCAGCTGGCCCGCAAGTGCCACATGCAGCCCTGGTTCCCGCTCGCGCCTCTCCCTCCACACTTCCCCGCAAGCTGAGAGAGCCGGCTCCAGCCTTGGCCAGCCAAGAAAGGGGCTCCCACAGTGCAGCGGCGGGCTGAAGGGCTCCTCAAGTGCTGCCAAAGTGGGAGCCCAGGCAGAGGAGGCGCCGAGAGTGAGCGAGGGCTGTGAGGACTGCCAGCATGCTGTCACCTCTCATTAAGGCAGAAACAAAGAAGTTCTTTGAAACCAATGACAACAAAGACACAATGTACCAGAATCTCTGGGACACAGCTAAAGCAGTGTTTAGAGGGAAATTTATAGCATTAACGATCACAGGAGAAAGTGGGAAAGATCTAAAATCAACACTTTAATATCACAATTAAAAACAAAACTAGAGAAGCAAGAGCAAAAAATTCAAAAGATAGCAGAAGACAAGAAATAACTAAGATCACAGCAGAACTGAAGGAGATAGAGACATAAAATTCCCTTCAAAACATCAATGAATCCAGGAGCTGGTTTTTTGAAAAGATCAACAAAATAGATAGACCACTAGCCAGACTAATAAAGAAGAAAAGAGAGAAGAATCAAATAGACACAATAAAAAGTGATAAAGGGGATATCACCACCGATCCCACAGCAATACAAACTACCATCAGAGAATACTATAAACATCTCTATGCAAATAAACTAGAAAATCTAGAAGAAATGGATAAATTCCTGGACAAATACACCTGCACAAGACTAAACCAGGAAGAAGTTGAATCCCTGAATAGACCAATAACAAGAGCTGAAATTGAGGCAGTAATTAATAGCCTACCAACCAAAAAAAAGCCCAGGGCCAGACGGATTCACAGCCAAATTCAACAGGAGGTACAAAGAGGAGTTTGTACCATTACCTCTGAAACTATTCCAAACAATAGAAAAAGAGAGACTCCTCCCTAACTCATTTTATGAGGCCAGCATCATCCTGATACCAAAACCTGGAAGAGACACAACAAAAAAAGACAATTTCAGGCCAATATCCCTGAGGAACATTGATGCAAAAATCCTCAATAAAATACTGGCAAACCGAATCCAGCAGTACATCAAAAAGCTTATCCACCACGATCAAATCAGCTTCATCCCTGGGATGCAAGCCTGGTTCAACATACACAAATCAATAAACATAATCCATCACATAAACAGAACCAATGACAAAAACAACATGATTATCTCAATAGATGTGCAGAAGGCCTTTGATAAAATTCAACATCCCTTCATGCTTAGAACTCTCACTAAATCAGGTATTGATGGAACATAACTCAAAATAATAAGATCTATTTATGACAAGCCCACAGCCAATATCATACTGAATGGGCAAAAGCTGAAAGCATTGCCTTTGAAAATCAGCATAAGACAAGGATGCCCTCTCTCACCACTCCTATTCAACACAGTATTGGAAGTGCTGGCCAGGGCAATCAAGCAAGAGAAAGAAATAAAGGGTATTCAAATAGGAAAAGAGGAAGTCAAATTGTCTCTGTTTGCAGATGACATGATTGCATATTTAGAAAACCCCATCGTCTCCTCCCAAATTCTTCTTAAGCTGATAAACAACTTCAGCAAAGTCTCAGGATACAAAATCAATGCGCAAAAGTCACAAGCATTCCTATACACCAATAAAAGACAAACAGGGAACCAAATCGTGAGTGAACTCCCATTCACAATTTCTACTAAGAGAATAAAATACCTAGGAATACAGCTAACAAGGGATATGAAGGACCTCTTCAAGGAGAACTAAAAACCACTGCTCAAGGAAATAAGAGAGGACACAAACAAATGGCAAAACATTCCATGCTTATGCATATGGAGAATCAACATCGTGAAAATGGCAATACTGCACAAAGTAATTTATACATTCAATCCTATTCCCATCAAGCTACCATTGACTTTCTTCACAGAATTAGAAAAAAGCTACCTTAAATTTCATATGGAACCAAAAAAGAGCTCATATAGCCAAGACAATTCTAAGCAAAAAAAAAAAAAAAAAAAAAAACAAAGCTGTAGGCATCATGCTATCTGACTTCAAACTATACTACAAGGCTACAGTAACCAAATCAGCATGGTACTGGTACCAAAACAGATATATAGACCAATGTAACAGATAAGAGGCCTCAGAAATAATGCCACACATCTACAACCACCTGATCTTTGACAAACCTGACAAAAACAAGCAATGGGGAAAGGATTCGCTGTTTAATAAATGGTGTTGGGAAAACCAGCTAGCCATATGCAGAAAACTGAAACTGGACCACTTCCTTACACCTTATACAAAAATTAATTCAAGATGGATTAAAGACTTAAAAATCCTAGAAGAACCATAAAAATCCTCGAAGAAAACCTAGGCAATACCATTCAGGACATAAGCATGGGCAAGTCTTCATGACTAAAACACCAAAAACAATGGCAAGAAAAGTCAAAATTGACAAATGGGATCTAATTAAACTAAAGAACTTCTGCACAACAAAAGAAACTATCATCAGAGTGAACAGGCAACCTACAGAATGGGAGAAAAGTTTTGCAATCTATCCATCTGACAAAGAGCTAATATCCAGGATCTACAAGGAACTTAAACAAATTTACGAGAAAAAACAAACAACCCCATCAAAAAGTAGGTGCAGGAAATGAAGAGACACTTCTCAAAAGAAGACATTTATGTAGCCAACAAACATATGAAAAAAAGCTCATCATCACTGTTCATTAGAGAAATGCAAATCAAAACCACAATGAGATACCATCTCATGCCAGTTAAAGTGGCGATTATTAAAAAGTCAGGAAACAACAGATGCTGGAGAGGATATGGAGAAATAGGAATGCTTTTATACTCTGAGTGGGAGTGTAAATTAGTTCAACCATTGTGGAAGACAGTGCGATGATTCCTCAAGGATCTAGAACCAGAAATACCATTTGACCCAGCAATCCCATTACTGGGTACGTACCTAAAGGATTATAAATCACTCTACTATAAAGACACATACACACATATGTTTATTGCAGCAGTGTTCACAATAGCAAAGACTTGGAACCAACCCAAATGCCCATCAATGATAGACGGGATAAGGAAAATGTGGCACATATACACCATGGAACACTATGCAGCCATAAAAAAGGGTGAGTTCATGTCCTTTGCAGGGACATGGATGAAGGTGGAAACCATCATTCTCAGGAAACTAACACAGGAACAGAAAACCAAACACCGCATGTTCTTATTCATAAGTGGGAGGTGAAAAATGAGAACACATGGACACAGGGAGCGGAACAACACACACTAGGGTCTGTCGGGGATGGGAGATTAGGGGAGGGATAGCATTAAGAGAAATATCTAATGTAGGTGATGGGTTGATGGGTGCAGCAAACCACCATGGCATGTGTATACCTATGTAACAAACCTGCATGTTCTGCACATGTATCCCAGAACTTAAAGTATAATTTTAAAAAAATGTTGTCTACAAATTGGGTTCTACATTATTTTAGTACTTTTTCATATAGGAGTTACAGTGAAAATGTTGTGCATACAATTAGCAATCCTGATTATTTCATTCCAGCATACATGCATCCTCCTAATTTCATCTTTTTAAAATAAAGAAATAATAAAAATGAATAGTATTTTTAAAATCTTAAATGTAATCAAACCTTTAAGATCAAAGAAAATCTTCCTCCACTTCACCACTTCCAAAAAGATCAATGAGTTTCTCCACTACAAGAGGAGCAATGACTTTTTTTAAAAACAATTCTCTGCTTCATCTCTTCAAGTCTTTTTATTCTTCAAAATGGTTGAAAGGTAAAAGTTCTCATTGGAACTCATTGATCCAAATAAAACTTTGGCTTGAAATCTTTGAAAATTTTCAGAAAAATAAAAAGTTTTCCAGATACTGAGAACCAACCTTGTTCCTTCGGGAATTAACCATGATTACTTTACTTGGAGGGTTATTTCACAACTCAATAGATCCACTTCCAGCAAAATTGTCTTGGTGTTAAACCTCGTTTGTTTTCTTCTTCTTCTTTACATGACACCTACCATAGTGTTCTTTTATTTTGTGAAGCACCCTGCAGGGAATGGAAATGCTTTGCAATTTAAACACTATTTGAACAAATTCAACATGGAAACGAAAGCCTTTATACCAGATGTTACATTTAACTTCAGTCATTTTCCTGTGTCAATGGTGATGGTCAATTTCAGTATGGATATTTACATTTACTATAAATTTGATTCCAAGAAATCTCTAACATTGCAAGGGTTTTGTGAGAACACTTGCGTACATGGATTAGTAGTGTTCTACTGCTTCGTTTTATGTTTCAATGGGTATTTTTTCTGTTCTCTGTGTTTGGACAGCATTCTGAGATAGTCATCTAGTAACTAGACTCTGCTCTGCTGTGTTAGATTCTTTTGGTCTCTCCTCATAAATCACTCTCTCTAGACTCTAGAAGACTCTTGTTTTTCTTCTGAACTCATTCCAGATTTGCTTTTTTTAAAAAAATTTCTTCTTAATTTTAAATAATGAAGTGAGTAGCCCTAAATGTTGTATTTCAGAGTTTCATTGAAAAGGAATCTTGTATATTTTTGGCTGCTTGCCTGATTTTATATATATACATCCATACAAAGAAGAAGTAGTATATAATAGAGTGAAAAGAGCACAGGACACAAAATTAAAAACCTGGTTCCAGACCTAGCTGTTATACTGGTTTGCTATGTTGAGAAAATCACCTAATCACTCTGGTCTCTCCTGTCTTCATTTATTCACTCACTCATTCATTCAAGAAGCACATATAAGGTGCTTAGGGATGCAGCCATGTATAAGATAGGCTAGGTCTCTGCCCCATTTTAACTTATAGTCTAGTGAGGGTTGGCAAATTACAAACTAGTAAGAAAAACATTTAGAATGTTGAGATTTGATATTTGCTTTTAATGAGTGTCTTAGTTCATTTTGTATTGCTATCAAGAAATACCTGAGGTTGGGTAATTTATAGAGAAAAATGGTTTACTTGGCTCACAGTTCTGCAGGCTGTACAAGAAGCACGGCATTGGTATCTGCTCGGATTAATGTGAGGGCCTTTATGCTGCCACGTAAGGCAGAGAAGGTAGAAAGGGAAGTGAGCACATGTGAAGAGAAACCAAAGCCAAGGGGCGTCCTGGCTTTATAACAACCCACTCGGAGGGAGACTAATCCCTTTCCCTCAAGAAGCAACCCAGTCTCAAAAGAGCAAGAACTCATTCACTCCCATGAGAATGGCACCAAGCCATTTACAAGGGATCTGCCCCCATGATGCCAACACCTCTCACTAGGCCCCACCTCCCAATACCACCACTCTGGAGATCATTATTTCAACATAAGATTTGGTGGGGACAAGCAAACCATATCCAAACCATAGCAATGAGTAAACATGGTAATTTGTTAGAAGATGACAAGACTAAGAAAGGGGACTGCGTTTAAACAGATGAACACAAAAGCCATCTCTGAGAAAGCATTTTTTGTCCTGAAATCCAATGAGTAAGAAGGATCCAGATATGGGAAGAGTCAGAGAAAGAGCAGGAAGAACAGCCAAATAATTATACATTTAGTTGCTTTTACAGTTCCAGAATATAATTTCTATTACAACTACATCTCTGCCAAGGTCATAGTTTAAAAAAATTTTGTAAGCAAACTTGATTACACCTTACCTGTACACCTCTGTGGGAAAGGCATAGACCTTATCCATATACTTAGACTTTAGGAAATGAACTATGAAATGGCTAATGTTCACATTTCACCAAAGGGAACTACCTCACCATCATTGGCTAAGAAATATTAGATTCTCCAAAGCCATCATCATGCTTTCTTTGAGACATAGCTGTACTTTCACTTTTCAAACTTTTCAACTATTTTTTTCTGTTTATTATTTCCTACCTTTCCAAATTATGGGAAAACTTCATTAATTTTGACTTGTTGAGGGACAAATGTTTAAGGTTGAGAAAAAGGGCTGAAGTAATTATTAGAAATTAGAGGTCTGGATCCATGTTGACCACTAAATAGGATGAGAACTTGGACAGTTATAATTATCTGTGCCTCAGATTGGGACTCCTGAATGACTCTCTTTTCTACCCGCCTCTATAAAATCCCAGGCTCCTTTCCTTTTCTTGTCAAGCTGTTTCTCATGAATGAATGTTGTCTTTATTTCAATAACCTGAATAAAATCTTTTTTCTAGTTGTCCCGTGCATTTTGTCTTTCACAGTTTGATGCCAAGACTCAGAGGGGATTGGATCTCACCTTCGGATCCCCATTTACTCCACCCTGATAAGGAGGCCTCTCTGGTCCCTTGGTGCTCCATTCCTAACTGGCAGTCCGGGGACCCAATGGTGTGTCCTACATCTGGTCTTGTGCTCTGTAGTCTCGTCTGTTGGTTGTGTGGTAAGGATTTGATTTCATTTTTATTCAGCACTCACTTGATTTCTAATGCTGGCTTCTTTTTAAAAAAATAAAAATAAACCATTTGACCACTCATTTGGTGGTCTCCAATGAATGGTTTGTAGAGATTTTGTCTCTGCTGGGTGAAAGATGACAGAAAATCTGTTTTTTAAATCTCTGTGTATCTATTATGAGCTCAAATCAAGTAAGAATTCAGACCCACTAGAAAGAGAACAGCTTTTTTATATAAATTTTGTATTTCTGTTTATGATCAACTTATGAGTAAAATTTTAGAAGTGAAGTTACATCTGTGTGTATAAAGTATGTTTATATGTCTATAATTTATAAAGCCCTTTCCCTCTCACTGGGTGGAATATTTTCCTAATTCCACATGGTATTCATAAGTTAGATTGCAAACTCTTTTATATTAAAGGAATCCTTTTCTAATTGGCTTTGAAAGGAATAAGCACTTACATAAATTAAATAATCCTAAAATTCTCAGAAACTAAGAAAAGTGAACATCTTATAGTTTCAGTGTGCAAAAAAAAAGATATTATAGAAACTAGCCTTGAACTATTTTAACAATTCAAGTTAATATAATTCAAGTAAGTTTTCATCAAACAAAACTAGTTTTAAATTTTTGGTTTAGTGAAAAAAGCTTTCTCTGATTTTTCAGCACAAGTATAGTATACCTAATTTTATTTTACTTGAGTATATTCTTCCTAAACTTACATACATTTACTGAACAAATAAAGTAGCATTAGTGATCCTCCCACTTTGGCCTCCCAAAGTGCTGGGACTATAGGCTTGAGCCACTGCATCTGGCCTTGTTCTCCTGAATGTTTAAAACTACGAAGAGTATAAATTTGTGTTTTACCTAATTAAATCATTATTCTGAGAAAATTTTTTCATCATAAATTACGTTTTATCATAGAAAAGTTTGAATACAATCTCGAAGATCTTTGGGTAACTTGAAATCTTGACTCAATACAACCTTTCAAACTAATGTTTTCAATTTATCTCCCTTTTTCCTGACTTGGCCTCATTTAGAACTAAAATCTGAATGCACAGATTCTCATTGCCTTATATCCTGCTCATTTCCCCATAGTCTACAGAAGCCTTGAAATATTAACTTCAAAATATTATCATCACAGTAGACCACGCCTGGGCTGGATTTCTTCCTGGGCAAGTCTCTAACTAGAACGCAAAAAAAGTCAAGCCAAAAGGTTGGGTCATGTATGACCTTCTGCAAGAGATGTGGACAACATCACCAAGAATATTGACAGCCTAGCCCAAGAGCTACGAGAAACTCAAAGAACACTGCTTTACAACCAAAAGATTTTTACCCTCTGACTTCTTGGAATCCACTGGATTTGTTACCCTAAGTGGTTCAGCTCCTGGCTCGCTAATACAATGTTTTATATTAATATTTCTTTTTCATTTTAGATCTCTCTTTTTTTAGATGTCTAATCTTCAGGTATCTAAAACAACTCAACTTTGCCACCATCCCTCAATGGGTTGTTTAACTGGTTTTACAGGACACTGTCAAAAGAATCCCTGAAAGACTATATCTTAGGCCTTGCTTCATTCACCCCACTAAGGTTTATGACTACCTCTCAGTTGTTCAGTGATTAATGATGTTTATCTTTGAAACAGGGAGAATGAAAATGTTGAATGTCACCTGACTTTTGTACTCTTTGAAAGTAGTGATGGATAAGAAATTGCCTCATATTTTCATGTTCTGGGAAATCATAAGAGATTACTCTGCCCTTAAATGTAAGACCCATCTCCATGCATTCTCTGCAGTCCTATAAGAACTGAAGTTACCTCCCTTGTTTACTTGCCTCTATAAAACTCCAGTCCTTCTTCCTTTTCTTTTAGCTGTTCCTCATTAATGCACATTTTCCAGGCTGCAGTAGCCTGAATAAAATCATATCTTTAATTGTTCAGTGCATTTTGCCTTTCAAAAACTTCTCTAAATTCCATTTTTTTCACCTGTGCTTCTTAAATATCTGAAGATTCACAAATATATTGCAAAAGTTTGTGATTATTTAAGTTGGTAGTGGAGTTCCTTTTCAATACAATTTTTCAAACAAAAAATAATTATTTTCCCCTTTATAACTGAACAGATTTTTAGGACCTCAGAATGCACTTTGAGTATGCACAACAGGGAGTAGGAATCTGATTAACATGCTGTTCTCTCTCTCATGCTTGCATTCTCTCTCTCTCTCCGTCTCTCTCTCAGTATCTTTATCAGTCAGCTGAACACTGCTAGAACAATTTACACCCTAATGGATGATAGTTAAAGACCATAATCACAAGGAACACTTAATGTTGAACAATAAATGATTATTTTGCAAATTCACCTCAGGGATCTTCATTATATCTATAAATTATATCCTTCAGATAAAGACCATCACATGCCGTATAATAATTTCTGTAGTAATTTAAAAATATATATTAAAAAGATAAAAGATGGTACTGATCATAGCGCATTTGGAAATAAAGACTATCCATAACCACAATATATTTCATGTGGAAAAGTGAAAGTAAATAAAAGGCTGAAATCCTCTTTCATCTCCTCAGTTATCAACAGAGCACAGAAATTTTAAAGTTGAAGTTCTTTTAAGTGTAAGCTAAAAGAATTACAAACAGCAGCTCACAATGTCAGCTTTGTTCATTTTTAATACTGAAAATCTTTATTAAAGTATAATCTTTATTTTAATGTATATTTGGCCCTAATGTCAGATTTGATACAATGCCATCTTAAAGTTTATCATTAAGTCAAGCTTTTTCTCACATAATTACTTTGAAGTTAAATAGTTTCCTAACTATTATTAAAGTTCATGCTAAACCTTAAACACTATCTTTAATAATTCTAACCTAATATAAATATATTTTTTCTAAAAATCATATTTCATATCACTCAGGAATGATAAAATAGTATAAAAATCCATAACATGAAGCCTTTCAGAGTATGTACTGCAGTAAAAGATGTTTGAGGCAAACACATATAAACAGACTCAGATGATAAACACCGAAGGTCTTCTGTAGCCATAATTCTATGAAAATGTCATTATAAACATGTATAGCAAGTAATTTATTTAATTGTAACCTTTTTAAACAAACATAGAAATGAGTTGTGATAGCACGCATTATTCCATCTAGTTTCGCTGCTACAATTACATTAAAAAGGAAAAAATATGAAAGCTTAATATAGGGTGTTCTCTTAAGTAAATATTCCCTTAGCTTTTACACTCTTATTTTGCTGCCTTAGTACTTCCATTAATGAAGCAAGATTAATTTCAACTGAATCATAGCACTTTGATTGCAAATTCCTATTTAGGTAATTGTGAAAGAATGAGATTTTATGTTTGTTTCCATTTTGAAACCAAGAGATATAGTTCCTTTGCTTGCTTCAATTTGCGGGATATTACTATTAAATTTTTGGCACTCTTTCTTTTTTAGCTTTATTAAATTGTTGGCACGCTTTCTTTTTTAGCTTTATTTGTAGTAACTCAAACTACAATCTTATTTCCAAATCCCTCCTGTACCCAAGCGCAGTACTGAATTCTTTAATGTAGACCCTCCTTATTTCTTCTTCCCAATCCCTTTCTCTTTATTAGGTTTATCTTTGGGCATTGCGTAGCTTGCAGTATTTGGCCAGTTTCCTACACCTCCATGGAGTTTATGACTTATTTATGAAAACTGACCTCTCTAGAGTTTTTCACAGCATTTATTCCAATATCCTCTTTATATAACCACAGAAATCGGTAATTTGGCAAGTCACCAGGCATGATTAATTCTTTGTGTTTTCTGCAGTTTCTATGCACTGAATATTATTAATGTTTTGTTTCTCCAAAGGTTTAAAAACCACATATATTGATGCCCAGTCAGTACTAGAAAGAGGGTCTATGAGAAAGATTTGAAAATACCACACCCCCGTTTCTTTCTTTTCTTTTCTTTTCTTTTTTTTTTTTTTTAATGAGACAGAGTCTCACCCTGTCACTCAGGCTGGAGGGCAGTGGTGAAATATTGGCTCACTGCAACTCCGCCTCCTGGGTTCAAGGTTCAAGTGATTCTTGTGTCTCAGCCTCCAGAATAGCTGGGACTACAGGCGCTTGCCACCATGCCTGGCTGATTTTTTTTTGTATTTTTAATAGAGACAGGGTTTCACCCTGTGAAACACCCTGTGAAACACCCTGTGTTGGCCAGGCTGGTCTTGAACTCCTGGCCTCAAGTGATCCACCCCCTGGGCCTCCCAAAGTGCTGGGATTACAGGTGTGAGCCACCACACCTGGCCTCACATCCCCATTTCTTGTCTTGCACTGGGAGATAAACTCCTCAGCCCTAAGTCTTTTTCATATGCTTGTTGTTGGCCTCATGTATGTCTTCTTTTGAAAAGTGTCTGTTTATGTCTTGAGCCCACTTTTTAATGGGGATGTTTGTTTTTTTTCTTGTAAATTTGTTTAAGTTCTTGAAAAATGCTGGATATTAGACTTTCATTACATGTGTAGTTTGCAATTTTCTTTCCATTCTGTAGGTTGTCTGTTCACTCTGTTAATAGATTCTTTTGCTGTGCAGAAGTTCTTAAGTTTAATTAGATCCCATTTGTCAATTTCTGCTTTTGCTGCAATTGATTTTGGAGTCTTTGTCATGAAATCTTTGCCCATTCCTAGGTCCAGAATGGTATTGCCTAGGTTGTCCTCCAGGGTTTTTATAGTTTTGGGTTTTACGTTTAAGTCTTTAATTGATCTTGAGTTAATTTTTGTATATGGCAAAGGATGGGGTCCAGTTTCAATCTTCTGCGTATGGCTAGCTGGTTATCCTAGCACCATTTATTGAACAGGGAGTTCTTTTTCCATTGCTTGTTTTTGTCAGCTTTGTAGAAAATCAGATAGTTGTAGGTGTGTGGCCTTATTTCTGGGTTTTCTATTCTGTTCCTTGGGTCTATTTGTCTGTTTTGTATCAGTACCATGCTGTTTTGGTGACTGTAGCTCTGTAGTATAGTGTGAAGTTGGTTAGTGTGATGTCTCCAGCTGTGTTTTTTGTGTTTTTTGTTTGTTTGTTTGTTTGGCTTAGGATTGACTTGGCTATTTGGGCCTTCTGTTGGTTTCATACGAATTTTAAACTAGTTTTCTCTAGTTCTGTGATGAATGTCATTGGTAGTTTAATAGGAATAGCATTGAATCTGTAAATTATTTTGGGCTGTATAGCTATTTAACAATTCTTTCTACCCGTGAGCATGGAATGTTTTTCCATTTGTTTGTGCCTTTTTCTTGTCTGGCTGTCTTATTTCAGAATGAGAGTCTTCAAACTCTGAGATTCTTTCCTCTGCTTGGTCTCTTCTGCTATTAATATTTGTGATTGTATTATAAAATTCTTGTAGTGTGTTTTTCAGCTCTATCAGGTTACATTCTTTTCTATACTGGCTATTTCGTCTGTCTGCTCTTGCATCGCTTTATCACTATTCTTAGCTTCCATAGGTTCAGTTTCAACATACTTCCTTAGCTCAATGATCTTTGTTTCTATCCACGTTCCAAATTCTATTTCTGTCATTTCAGCCATCTCAGCCTGGTTCACAACCCATGCTGGAGAGTTGACGCAGTTGTTTAGAGGAAAGACACCTCTCTGGCTTTTTGAGTTGTCAGGGTTCTTTCGCTGGTCTTTCTCATCTTTGTATCCTATGTTCCTTCAATCTTTGAGGTTGCTGATCTTTGGATGCTTTTTTTTTTCTCTTATCCTGTTTGATGACCTTGAAGGCTTATAAGGTGGATTCAGCCAACTGGCTTTTTTCCTGGAAGATTTTAGGGGGCCAGCGCTCAGCTCCCAACTCTTGGACTGTGTGCTGTAACTCTGGGGGACTTGTATGGGGCCCCAACTTTGTTCTCTGGCTCCTCGAAGTTAGGAATCCACTGAGTTTGGGAGGCTGAGGTGCTCCCAGATTGCTGGTCACTACATTCCAATGGGTGGTGTCAGCCAAAGTGTTTACTAGTGTAGTGACTGCAGAGTCCGTCCTCGTTCACATGTGCCAGCAGCAGCAGTAGTTTCTGCTGCAGCAGGGTGCCAGTGGGTGCCGGGGTGCCTGCCTCCCTGACAGTATTCACGTAGTGGTGGAGGCAGTGCAGCTGGGAAAGTGTGGCGGACACCTGCTGGCAACAGTTTGCGAGTTGGGCTGGTTGTGGTCTTGGCTCGGGGCAGGTCACTGACTGGCTCAGGTCTGTGTGCCGTGTGCCCCACAAGCAGGAGTGATCGCTGAGGGCCGGGGAGGATCTGCTCTGCTCCGAGCCTAGTTTTACTCCTGTGGCAGTGTTAGCGCAAGGCTGGGGCACAGGTGGGGACCGGGCTGGCTGGTTTTTTGCCCGCCAAGGCTCTGACTGCAGTGGCAGTAAGCAGCGGGCGGATGAGTGGACTACACTCCTGCCTGCTGGCCAGGCAAGAAAGCAAAGCCCACCCACACAGACGTGTGCCAAAAATGCAATGCGGGAAGTTGCTGTGGGCCCAGGGGAGGCTGCAGTGTGCGGAGGGAGCCTGAGGGGCAGGTGCGTAGCCATGGGGGCCGCCCTGCTGGAGCCCTCCGCTGATCTGGCAAAGATCGCCAGCGGAGAGGCTATGAGGTGGCAGCCACGGCACCCCAGACTTCCCCTGCAAGCAGTCGCGGCCAGGCTAGGGCCCTGAGAGAGGCCAGTTGCCCAAGAGGTGTTCAGTTCGGATTGCCCCCTCTGAGGGGAAAGACGGCCCTGCAGAGTTCAGGTCTGACAGTTTCTCCAGGGCTAAAGTCTCCTATGGGAGCCAGTCAAGCCTAGGGGTATGACCTCCCTGGCCATGCTCTGCTACAGGCGCTCTCACCCTAAACCCTCTGGGCTCCACATCAGCTGGCTTGCTGCTCCTACCACTTCTATAAGCAGCTCTCTCTCTTAACTCCAGTGTCCATGGTGGTTGAGGGGTCTCCTCTTGCCAGGGTTCCAGAGGCCCACGGTGAGAGCGAGTTGCTCTTTGCCAGTTCAACTCACTCGTTCCTCCAGAGTCGTTGGGGGCCAGAACAAGTCCTGGTGCACATTAGCCCCAAGTAGAGTTCCCAGCTTTCTCCCACTTCAGCCAAGCTTCTGTGTCTTCCCTCCGTTCACTCTCGGTGCCTTCTTCTGAAGATCTGTTAGGAGTGCGCCAGTCATCTTGGATCTTGGCCCCTTGGTGGCAGCTGTCCCACCTGGCTACATCTAGTCAGCCATCTTGCCCTCCCTCCAGTCTTTTAAAATAGGAACTCAAGACTGAACATTTTCATCTATTTCAGGCAAACAAATCTGTAAATTAGTAGGAGTATAATTGTATACATTATGACTTGAGAAAGATTTCGTAATAAATTGCCTGTTTAAGAAGATAATATATGAAAAAGCCTGAGGGTCAATTTTTTCCCCCTCTTTTCCCTTTCTGAACAATAACTAGGTAATTCTATTATTGGCCAAGAACAATGCCTACATGCTCTACCTGTCTAACCCTTATCCAAATCATGAAATGGCTTTGTTCTTCCCTCAACTACCACTCCACAGTGAAGTTAATAAAATATGTCAAGATTTCAATGAATTACCGTTTATTGAGTAGCCACTAAGTGCTAAGCAAGGTATATGTGTAAAGATCACCTTCAGGGTTGTAGCTGATTGAATCCTTGCTCTTAAGGAGACCTATTGAAGACATGGGTTAGTAAACCAATTAAAAAAGAAGTGATTCCAGCATTTCACTATTCTGATTAGACAATATTTTCCTAGAACACTCCTAGAAACATAATAAATTTATTCTTCTTCAAGGTTAAATATTTTTCAAACTACCTTTACATTTTTAGTCTCTACTGACATACTTTGTGTTCCATTAGTGAGTCCAGAAGAAATGTTTGAAATGTAATTTTCTCACTGGGGCCACTTACTTCCAAATTTATTGTTACATCTTATCACGTCCTCCAAAATAGAACCAGCTTACTGGCAGACATCACCAGTGAAATTCACCATTTCTTGCCAATAATCATTGAAATTCTTTGAACATATGATTTCTCCAAAGTAATATCTTTTTGGCCGTAGTGTTCAAGTCACTTTGAAAATGTCTGTTTTTCGAGTTTTAGCATATTGATGTTATGTCTAAATAAGGTGACAAAAGTTAATTGATTTGCCCAGGGCCACACCGTGAGCTTAGGTAGGAACTAAGATTAGAAACCTAGTTTCTTAACTCCCAGTTTAAGGTAGGGTATACAAAAAAGAAAAAAGAAGAAGAAGAAGAAATCACACATAAATATAGTTTAGGAGTGGTGCATGACTTACAGAGCTATCTCAATCACTCCAGGACACAACTCTAGGAAAGCTCACCAATGCAATTGCTTTCTGTTTTTCACTTTAGCACCTCACAGTAGAAATTCTCACAGCTACTTCTTATCTGTAAAGCCTCAGACTTTGTTCTTTCCAAGAAAGTAGTGCCATATTGAAAAAAAATCTAAAAGGGAAATATACCGTTTGTACATACAGAATATTCTGGAATAAAAACCCTTCTGCTATAAACTCACAATAATTATTTCAATAGTGCCTTTGTTAAGAAAAGTCCAAACGTGGGTGGAGTGATTTGAATAATAGAACCTCAAGATTATTTTGGGTTCCAGTTGAATCTGGAGGTCTCACACTTCTCCAAACAGATCCAATCAATGCTTCAATGGAGCCATAAAATTAATATACTTTCTTTGAGTCTTTCAGGTGAGGATACCCCATGGCATAATCCACTTTCTCAGACTTACCCTTTATGTTCTCTTCCTCTGCATAATCTTAAACCACAAGCCTACAGATAAAACAAATTTGAACAATGTATGCAGGTGAGGGAGTAGCTGACTTCTATCATTTCTTCCTTTTAGAAAAAATCCTGGCAATCTAGGGAATCCATTCTGGTTAATCTGGCTCCAGTGTGTTTAGAAAGTGCTAGGTTTAAGGATCTAACTTTTAGGAACTTGATAAAATTGGTTCTTAATTTTAATATCTTTAAAATGAGGATATTGAGTTAATAAATTCTGAAGTCTATTTGAACTCTAAATTCCAAATTTTTACATACCTCTGGAATAGCATCTAGAATCACAGAATATTTGAGGTGGTAGGGGGTTTGGAGAATATCTGGCCCAATAGTTTTCAAACTGTGATCTAAAGAAATCCCTCACAGGGCAGAGTAATTTTTTGAAGAAGTGAAATTTTAAGTAAACTGGTTTCTACATCTTCCAACCTATGGAATCTTCCCAATATGGAACTCTTGATTTCATCAGTTTTATAGAATATGCTTCCTTACCTTAAAATATAAAGGCTTGAAAGAATTAATCTAATCAAACATCTTACTTACAGATGAGAAAATTAAATCCCAGAAAATCAAGGTAGCTCGCCTAAGATCCCACAGCTACATGATGGCAGAACATGAACATTAGATCAAAATTGACAACGCTTGTTTTTCTTAGCATTTTGTTTAAAGCAATTTTAATCTTATTGGGTCAGCTCACTGAACTCACAGCTAGTGTTTCTTCCCACTGTGTCATTGTCTAGTGCTGGAAAATCCCAGAAAGCAAAGGACTAGAAAGAAGTCTGTAAATTTCTGAGTGTGAGCTCATAACTCAGACAGATGAAATGAAAGATTTATTATTCTAAATTCTAAAAATTCATCCCAACAAAATTTCTCAACAACTCGTTTCAGTTAAAGATATTTTTAACAAGTAATTAACAAATACCACCAGAGTGGTTTAGAGCTCATTTATCTCCTACTACAAATGTGAACTTTAAAGAAAAAATGTTAGGAAACTAAAAACCAAACTACATTGAGTTGATTATTCTTTTCCTTCCATCATAGGAGGTCTTGTGAAGATTGTACCTGACTTTGAGAATGACGAATATTGTACCCAAAATATTTTATCACATGTCTAAGGGTCAAGAAAAAAAGTAAAGTTCAAGTTTGGTGTTTTGTTTGTGAGTGGAAAATACATATAATGGACTTCCTCAACAAAAAAAAATCCCCTGTAATTTAACATTTTAAAAAAGACTTAACCATTATTTCTACTTAATTCAGGAAGATTCTTAAATTTTGTTTCAGAATATTCACATACATGTGCACACAGCAGTCTTTGAAATCTCTTAAAGCCTTGGGCAGATGAAACTAATATTTTACACAAATATCGATTGCCTTTACTGCTCTTTTTTTATATATTTTTTTTTTACCATTTAAAAATTTTTAAACAAATAGTAAGACATCTGGAGCACTTGTGCTTTTATTAGAGTTCTCACAGTGTACCAGAAAATGTCTGAAGGCTCATAAAATGTATTTAGAAAATATGTCAATATTTTAAGAACAGATATTTTTTGGCCACGCTGTAAATGTATTTTTTATGTTGGAAAGTAATTATAAAATCATTTGAATTCACAAAAATTGGTTTCTCACAGAAAATATTTTAAAACTTTTAAAAAAATGTATGCTTATGATATCCAGTGTTGCCAAATAAGCTTTTATTCTTGGGCTTAGCTTTGGCAAATTCTCTTGATAGGACTCTTGTTCCCTAGACGACTAGCTAATGAAAAAACAGAGAGAGAGAGAGAGAGAGAGAGAGAGAGAGAGAGAGAGGTTTACATGAGACAGAAGAGGACAGCTTGGGAAATAAACTTCCTTTTCTCACTTATTCAGCAGTTATTCCTCCGGGATGGAAGCATCTGGCCTAAATGATTAAAGCTGCTGCTACCTGCCCAGAGGCAGTTTATAATCCAATTTCTAGTCTAAATTCAAGAATTTCACCACTGTGGATAAGCATACACTATCCCAGTGTGAAGAATCAGTTTCCTTGAGAAAAGACTTCGCTCTGAAGTTTTATAACATCCCAGTGCTTGCCTTAGGAGTTTAAAGAAAGTCTCTGTGCACTCTGGGGGCCTGTGAGCTAGCATGGAATTGTTATGTCTTACAGTCCTTGCACTGTGCTGAGTCGGCTGAACCAGCAGTCTAAGAAAATATGTCGCTGTAAATCCAATGGATGTATTCCTTAAAAGTCAAATGCACTATGCAGCTGCACCCTTACATGCACTAAATATGTACAAAGTGATGCCCCTTGGCTTGGTATCAAGTGTTGGGTTGCAAGTGGATAAACTTGTCGAGACAAACTGCAAAAAATATCTTTGTGAGATGGTAACCCACTGCAGCAGGCTCAGTGCAGGAGAAAATGTGCCTGAAGAAGGCAGATCTGGCTGTAGGAGGCACTTCCTGAGAATTCCTGCTATATCTGATGAGAATGGGAGGGGGTGGGGAAGCTTTCCAAGAAACCATGAGTAATTTTCTTAACATTTTAAGCAGATGAATATTTAAAGAAGAAAAAAAAGTCTAATGTAGGTCAGACTGACAAATGAGAAAGACGATGGACTGACATTTCCTGGAAATCTAGTCAATTAGAAAAATAAAAATAGTTATCAGTCTCTCACTTATATAAGAATTACCATCATAATTTAATAGAAAATTTTAAGCAATAAGTTTTATTTCAAGTATTTGTTTAAAAGTATCCTTAAAGAAAGGAATTGCTCTGTTTATATCTGAATGTTAAACATGACCTTTACATTTTTTTTTTCTCACACACAATTCTTCCTGAGTCATCAAAGTCTAGGAAATAATTGAAAGACATTTCTCTTTCTGGAATTTTTTAATGCTTTTCTTCTGGTTCTTGTGTAACTTTAAGGGTTTGAATTAAAATTTCAGAATTGGCTTCAATTCTCTTGTTAAAGAAGAATGTATCTCTGATTTGGGAGGAAAAAAAATATCTACTTAAAATAAAACAAAAATGTCCTGGGCAATTGAATCACATGTGTTCCTATTATGTCAATCTTAATCCCTCCCACTGTATGGGCTCATCAAATTCTCAACTTTTCCAGAAAATATCCTGAAAAAATATTGCTATTAAGAAGAAAGAGAAAGTAAAATAAATATGCTCAAAATTCCTCAGAAAATCTTCCACCATCTTAGCCATCCTTACTTCTTCTAAAAAATATTTCCTGTTTGACGTTTTTTCCCAGGTTTCTCATTACTCAAGGGGCACGAGCACTCTTTTTTGGGTGTTTCTCTTCATACTTCCATTAGAATATTTACCATATTCTAGGGCAATCCACTCTGTAGTATCACTGAACTGTTTTAGATGATGTATGTTAGAATAGAGAAAAATGAATACAACTTCACTTTCTGTCATGTGGCTTATGAAATTGCAAGAAATTAAAACCAAGGACAGATAATACAGACCTGCCAGGTAAAAAGTTAAATAGATTTAAACATAAATCCAGTTACAGAAACAAAATTACAGTTTGGCAAATAGAGTGAAATAATCTCCCTTAACCTCTTCACCAACCTAACCAGTTAACTATAATACTTTGTATGAATATAATTCTGCATTTTTGCA